>NC_000005.10:153658102-153958419 GCF_000001405.40 Homo sapiens
GCCTGTCACCAAGGGTAGCAGGCAGTATTCAGGCCTTTTCTATAACTCCAGGTCATCTCTCAGTGAAACTTTGTAGGCACCCTGCTGCTTAAGAATACACAGAACAATACATAGAACAAGAATACACAGAACAAGGGTGGGGATAGGCATAATTACCTCTCTGGGGTGAGATAGAAATTGCATGCCAGTGGCCTTAGAGACACTGAAAGACCCCAGGTAATTACATTGCCAGCCTCCATCTGTTGCCAAGTAACCCCTCAGTCACAGCATCACCAAGTCAGCCTCTTGGGCTGTTGTATCCTTCTGATCTGCATTTTTCTTCTTCTGACCTAATGACCTCTCAAATGCTTACAGCTGCCAGCTAATAGGATGAAAATTGCATATACCATCCAAATAAAAAAGACTTGCATGTTTCGATAGATTAGTTGATAATTAGGCTTCAAATTACTAATTAATTCAGTTTGAAACATAGTCGAGTATGTGGTGTGTTTTCTTCCCCCTTCAGAGGAATAATGCAATTCATAAGACGATAATTTTTAGAATTTCTGCCACATAATTAGCCTACTGCTGCATAGAACTGACCCACTCCTTCGGAATGTTTGTGATTAGGGTGTAATTATAGAGTTAGAGACCAAGGAAGGCTTTGAAAGGTTTAACAAAAGGAGGGAGCTACACTTTTATTTTACAGTTCTTTCTGTCCCTGTCGGAATGCATGAGCTTCAAAGTAGCCAGCAGCATTCTTTTAGCAGATCACTTCGGAGGAATGCTTCTGGGGTTCAAATAGCCACCTTTGAAGGGCTGCCGGAAGAGAGGAGGGGAGGAGATTGTAGGTTAGAGAAGACAACTTATAGGCAAGGAGTCAAAACAAAACAAAGCAAAACAAAAACAAACAAACAAAAAAAAAACCTTGTTTTTTGTCCAGATGCCCCTTTTAGCTGGCTCTGTATTCTTGGACAACTCTCCAATCCTCAGTTTCCTCATCTGTCAATTGAGAACAATAATTCCTACTCTACCTACTCATAGTGTCACTGGGGAGACCAAATATGTTGCCAAATGCACCATGCTTTAAAAAGTTAAAAGTGTTCTGCACAAATGGAAAATTCTTACTTCACATATTAAATCCGCCCATCTGTACATATTCACATATGGTGTGTATGTACATATGCATATATATGCTTGCATATATATCCATATTTTATAGGAGAGATATGTATGTTTATTTCCATAGCATTGGTGTGGGCATAAGATGAACTTGAACCATGCAGAAATTGGAAAGCTATGCCACTATCTCTCACAGATGTGCCTGGGTCCTGGAACACACAAGTGCTGAGCCTGGCTGCCAGTGGTCCTCCAAACCCTAACACTGACTGTGCATTCACTCCCTGCTCTGAGACTGTGGGGAGTGCAGACATCTGGCAGCCAGAGTCCTTCAGAGTTGTAGTTCTTATCTTTGTGACTCACCAGAAGCAAATCTTAGACCAAATGAGTGTTTCTCAAAACAGAGGACCTGTGGACCTCTGTAGTGTTTCTGTAGAGCCAGTTTGGAAAATGTGGCACCAACAAGCGAATGCTTCAGTGCCACTGCAATTGCCAATATGAGTACCTAAACCATGGAGTAAATGGTCAGATTGTTATACTGGTATTTAGAATTTTACTGGAATGAAAGCACATATTTTAAAATTCTCATAGAGAACTAGAAGATTGGGAGAATTTACACAGGTTTCAGCAGACTCCTGTCTGAAAAATATTGAATTTGTTGGACAACATTGACCAGTGTGAACAATATGGTGCCTTCTAGAGGAGTAATAACAATAGTAATATCAACAATCTCTCTCATTTTTATACCATATTATAGTTTATGTGATATTTCTGTATGAATCATACTACCGGGTTTTGGATGTCATAATACTCCTATGAAGTAAACAAGGTGGAATTCATCATCCCCATTTTACAGATGTGGGAACTGAGGCTGAGACATTACATGACTGAGCTGCAGAGGAGAAAGACAGGAACCTAATTAATGGAGTTTGGCTGTCAGGAATATGACAAAAACCAAGAGATGTGGGCATAAGAATAAGATGATCAGGCTAACCTGATGCTGAGACACTTGAGTCACTGAATTAGAATTCCTTAAACCCCTAATAAATTACAACAATAATAACAATGGCAATAACTTCCACAATTGACTGATTGCTACATTCTAGACACTATGATAAACACTTAAATGCATGTCAATTAAACCTTCCCAATAGCCCTTGAGGTTGATATTATCCTCAGATGAAGAAACAGAGCTTCAGAAAGGTTGACTTTTCCACAGTCACAAAACATATAAAGTGATGGAGCTGCACTTCTCCTCAAGGGCCATGGAATCCCAAAATTTGTGTTCTTATTACCGTGCCATGTGAGTGCTGGACAGGGAGAGTTGGGGAAAGAGTCAGGAAAGAGAGGGGGTTGTCCTGGACAAGACAGCTTGAGTTTAAATCTTGTCTACAGTAGCAGCAATAGATCTGACATTCCAACCCAGGCTCTCAAATTCCCATTGGACATCTGTCTCACCATTTACTCCATGGTTTAGGTACTCATATTGGCAATCGCAGTGGCACTGAAGCATTCACTTGTTAGTGCCGCATTTTCCAAACTGGCTCTACAGACACACCACAGAGGTCCACAGGTCCTCTGTTTTGAGAAACACTCATTTGGTCTAAGATTTGCTTCTGGTGAGTCACAAAGGTAAGAACTACAACTACATTGATGGAATTTTATTAAAATTATTATTTCTAGTGTGACAGAAGCTGAGGAAGAGATGACGGAGTTAGCCCATTCCAGGTCTTATCGGGGTACTTGGGAACCAGGACAGTTGGCCATTTCTGCCATGTGCTTGCAGATTAACTCCTGTAGAATGTTAGATTGGAAGTTTTAGTCTATTTGGCAGCTATTCCAAGCCCCCAGCCCCATGCTGCTGCTCCTCTGCGGGATCAGCCCTGAGCAGAAACTGTTCTTTAGTCTCCTTGCTCCCCTGTGGTGATAAATCTGTCAGCTCCTTCTGCAAAGCTGAGCTCATCCACTTTCTTCAGTGCCTCTCTTCCTGTTGGCTCTGTACCTCACAGTTATGTTTAGTTTCTGCAGCTTCTGGTTAGGCAGGTGGTATAGTAGTTGGGAAGGGTGGCTTTGGAGCCAGTTCTGGGTTTGAATTCTGACTTTTATACTTATTAGCTATGTAACATTAGTCAATTTATCTACCTTTTCTGAGTTTTTGTTGCCTTATCTTTAAAAAAGAGAATGATATTATGTACATTCTTATAGGGTTTTATGAGAACTAAGTGAGATCCCTCAACGCTCTCGGAAATGAAATCACATCTACCTGTTTTATGCTGCCATAGCCCCAGATATTTTTTCACTTACTATACTTGAGATTAGATAACTGATTCTCTATTATTTCATGTCTTCTTCCCTGTTTATCTACAAGCTCCTAGAGGAAGGATTGTGTGTGACTTATTCTCTGTTGAATTCCCAGGGCCTGGCGAAGTGAGTTGCACATAACAGGTGTGCTTTAAAAAGTCAATGAATGAATGAATGAATGAATGAATAAATGAATTCCTAGAAAATAATGTCTGCACCTACATATCAAATGTACTTAAAGGCAAAATCTTTTAGCACCTATGCTAGAAGAAGTAGAGGTAGTAGGAATATGAATTTAGTTATGAATATGCAAATAAGTAGTTAAAGACAGGCCTAAGAGGCCTTCTAACCCACTTCATGTAGAGAGCCAGAATCTCCTCTACAACGTCCCCAACAGAAACTCAGCCATCAGGTTCATGCTTGAATAATACCCAGTGATGGAAAAGTCCTACCTCTGAGACAGCCCCTTTTCTTCTCAAAGGGCTCAGACAGTTTCTGCACTCTTCCTGGAACAGGGCACGACCTGTGTGCTGCTCACCCTGTGTCACTCTCTCATCACTTCTGACTCTAATGCCCTCTGGCTCTTGCAAAACTTACCTGTGCCTTCCCACAAAGCAGCCTTTGAGTATTTGAAAATGGCTACCTTGCTTACTCTTTGGTGTTTGCACCTTCAGTCTGGACACACCCCTGTTCCCCCAGTGCCTTCTCTCAGGATGTGGTTCTTACAGCTGTCCAGACAACCACCAAACATGGACCAGGCCTGTCCGTATGCCTGATACTGCACTGGGCTCATGCAAGAAGGACTAAGAAGCATGAGGCTGAACTTTGTCCCAGAAGCAACCTGACCTTTTCTTCCAGCTAGATTAGAACATGTAAAATAACATTCTCAAAAGAATGCCAGAGAAAAATCACAGCCTGTGAAAATATCTAAGCCTCATAGATGGCCACCTACCCTGTCACAGTGTGGTGATCAGAGGCCAGGGAGGCCGCCTCAGCTGTGGGGTGTCTGGGAAGGCTCGTGAGGCTGCATCTACAAGGCCAGCAGTCATGTAGAGTGTGCCCTCCCCCTTGTTTGAAGAATCCAGCGGAGTGAGAGCTGAAGGGTACCTATGAAACTCATCTCACCCGGCGCCTCATTTTATAAAATAGACACTCAAGAATGAGAGAAAGGAGGTGATCTGTCTGAATTCACCCAGAAGTTAAACAGCAAAGCTGGGCTAGGATTTGGAGTATTCACTTGCTCCTTCTTTGTGGCTTCTTTTCTCCAAACTGCCTTTTCACAATGTGCCCATATGCCTCTGTGTTGAGGGTGGGGCAGGAGCAGAGACAGAGACAGAGACAGAGAGGGAGCTCAGAAGTGCTTCCTACTCCCCACTGTGCCCCTCTCAAGGACTCTCTTTGCTGATGAAGCTTATTCCAGTTTCCTCTTCTTCCTCCCACACAGCCTTCCCTCTCCCGCTCTGCTCTCACCTCACTGTTCGGTAACAGACACTGTGTGATCTCCAGAGCTGACACTGCCCAGAGCCTTTGGAAGGAAAAGGAGAGTGGGTGGATAGAAAGACAAACCCCAGATGCCAAAGGATGCTGTCTTCCAAGGTGATCCAAGCATCCCAGTCTAGGTTACTCTTTGTATTCACCCCCATCCTCTGAGAGAATTCACCCCAGAGACCTCTGAGATTTTCTGCCTCCCTCCAAGAAAAGTAAGATTCTGGTCCCATTTTATAAGGAGAAAAATGAAGTTCAAGTTGTTGAAAAACCTTTTGTAAAGTCATTTGACTAAAACTGGAATTCAAACTTAAAACCTTTCCCATTCTAAGGATTAGGCTTGTTCTCCATTGGGCCACACTGCCCAAACTGGGGAAACCTTTGCAATTCTTAGGACTGGTATTATAATTGAGCAAAGCCAAGAAATAAACTCCTTTCTTCCTTAAACTGCCTGGGTTTGAAATCTGGCTCAGCTACTTACTAGCTGTTTGTCCATTGCAAGTCACTTCTCCTGTTTGTACCTCAGCTGTCTCACCTATGAGTGGGAATATTAATGTGGATCTCATAAGATAAAGATAAAATGAGTTAATGTATGTAAAGTTTTAGAACACAGAGTGCAACAGAAGCCCAGGGTCTCATCCTAACTCTGTCACTTACTCATGACCATTTATGCAAATCATATTTTTCTGTAAGATCTCAATTTGTTCTAGAATTGGCATAATGTTTTCAAAAGGAAAAAAATCAGCAAAACAATCTTCCTGCCTGTGTGATTTAGGGTTCTAGTTTTCCTGATTGTCTTCAGTTCAGAGGTATCAAAAAATATCTCTCATAGCCACACTGGCTCCCTTAAGCTTAAGGAAGAGGCTGTTCTATTAATCTCAAGCACTTGGTGTGTGTATCTTTCGATCTTGCAAACCATGCACACCTAGGCTGATTTGGAATGGCCTTTTTCATGCTGGGTCAGCATCCTTTGGACCATTTCAGATATGTAAGACAGTGACTATGATTGCTCTGACAGAGCATGGAAACTCACTGTCACCAGCAGCCTTCAAGCAAGAGGGGCCCCTTAGCACTAATTTTGGCAGATGGTTGGTGAGCTATGTAACTAGAAGAGTCTGGTCCTTGTTTCCTTACCTATCCCTCTTTTTAAGACAGAAAAATAGAGAATACAATGGGAGGGAAATGGAGCTCCAGGAGACACAGGATTTTAGGTAAATACTTACTATGTGCCAAGCACTGTTCTCTAAGAATCTGACAGGTAACATAGTTAATCCTCACAACAGCTATGAGAAATACCATAATAATCCTTATGTTGCAGCAAAGGTTACTGAGGCACTAAAAGGTTGAGTAGCCCTCCTGAGGTTGCACAGCTAGGAGGTGGTGGAGCTAAGATTTGAATCTAGGCTGACATGCACAGGCAGTTTCTGTGACAGAGGGCAGTAACCCTCTGTGGCTCTGACTCTGAACCTCAATACATGCATATTTTCTGCTTGGTGTTCCCAGCCCTCTTCACCCAACCAAAGGCACTTTTTTTTTTTCAGGCTTCATGCTTTTGCTGCAAGACCTTCCCTGAGCTCCAAGATCAAGTTTGGGTCCACTCATTTTGCTCTATAATTACTTGTGTAATATTGGCCTTTCTCACTAGACCTTAGGTAACTTGAAAGCAAGGACCACACCTGTCTTCTTCTCTGCTACATTTCTATGTATAGCATGGGCCTGACAGTGTTAAGCACTCATGAGTGAATGAGTAAATGGACAAATAAATGATTTACTACAATATTTCTTACCTGGTTCCCAGTAGCTTTCATATTTATCATGTTTGGACTTTCATTCTTCTTTTTATCAAACATTCAATGGGCACCTACTATATGGGAGGCCTGTGAAGGTGTAAACCGGCTTTTCATCAAAAGATGGGCATGCTATGAGTATTTGCTTGGCCTTTTCTAGATAGGAAGGTTTTGATCATGTAAAGGGTAGATGCAATTGGTTTTAAGTCCACTGGGAACTGTAGCCATAAGGGCCCACCTCATACCAGGAAATTTGCTCTTGCTCTGAAATGGCCTTGGCCAGGTGTCATTCCTGACCACAACAGTTGGGGCAGAGTAAAGATGAAGGGACTCTCTGGAAGACCAACTATTCCCAGGCCAGGTAGTACACCCATGCAGCCTTGCACTCAATAGCCCAACCTGGAGTCCCTAACCTTCTGCCAGAAAGTGCCAGCATTTTATCCTAAATCCCAGGGCTAAGAGAAATTAGTTTGTGAGACCCTGACTGACATTTACAATGCTTTGTCAATACTGGATACTTGTATGAGGTATGTCTGTTGGTGTGTTTGCAGATATCCAAGTGTGCCTCCCTGGTTCCAAATGTAACTGGATAAGTCAACACGAATGCTTTTTTCTTCTCAATATTTATGGTGTTTTCACTGATTTAAGCACAGCTACAATACCTTGTTTAATTAGAGGGAACCAGACTACCCTCTGTGTTACCAGAGATTATATAGGGAGAGGACACCTTAAAGGTTTGGTTGGTTAAAGTGGCTAAAATAGGAAAATGTGAAGACTTTTATGCAGAGACATGGGTATTTGAGGACACAATTAAGTCTTCAGCCCAGGAGTATTCCACAAATTCACACATATCCATATTCATGCGCACATACCTGTGTGATCATAGAATTGTAGATCAAAGCTGGAAGAGCCCTTAAGAGAGAAATCAAGTGGCTCAGAAGTTTCCAAACTTTTTAGTTTGAGGCTCTATTTTCAAATGGAATCTTGGGGGAGAACTCTCATATATAAAACAGATAAAAAGCAGAGCTACTATGGTGGAAAAGAGAGGGTGGGATTTAGGACCACATCTTTCTGCCTTTTCCCTAACCTAATATGGTAACTTCTAAAATGCCTGCAACCAGGAACATAGCTTATAAGATCATTGATGTAGCCAAAGTTCTTATTTTGCAGATCAATCAACTAATGGCTATACAGGTTGAGATAATTGCCCAAGGACAAACAACTCATGAGATTCAAAGACAGGATTTATGTGGTTCTCCCTAAAACTCTTTTCCTGACACTTCTTATTTATGACCTGGTTCACAATAGACTACACAAAAAAGTCAATAAGAAGACCTCTTTGATCCACAAGACAAAAGCTGAGGCTGAGTGGTGACAGGATTGAAGCTTATAAAAAAATCATGAGAGGGTGAGAAGAAACTTTCTGTTCCTTCATTCCTCCACATGTATTGAGCATGCACCCTGATCCAGGTACTGCTTGTGGACGCTGTGGGGGCCAACGTCCCTGCCCTCCAGGAGCTCACAGTCTCACAGGGAAGATGAGAAGGGCCCCTGCACGTTCAAAGAGAAAGCTAGGAGAGGCCTAGAGAGATAGGAATAAAGTGCTGTGTGGTTCACATTTCAAGTACCAGCACACATTAAAGGAGCTAAGGGAAATGCCCTGATCTCATGGAAGCCTGATACTTCCTTCTTGGTATAAAAATGTGTGCTGCTCTGAGTGCTTCATTGCAGGACAGGACATAAATGAATAGATTGGCCTCACTAGTGGTTGGGAGGCTTGATGTACAGTGGTTAGAAAACAAGTCCTAGAGTCTTTTTACTTGTTGGTCTCTGTCCCTCACTAGCTATACTGTACTGAGCAGGAGCTACTCCATTAACTTAAGCCTCAATTTTTTAAATTTCTAATTTGCTAATGGGAATGATAATAGTACCCACTTTACAGGATTGCTATGAGGATTAAATGAGATAACACAAATAAAGTACTTAGCACAGTTTCTACTACACAGTACAGGTTTGATACGTGTTAGGTACTTGTAATTATTGTTTTAGCCAAAGTCTGCCTTCTATGACATTTGCCCTTTCATTGGCTCTGGCCTGCGTTCCAGAGCCTCAGAGAACAAATCATCCATCTCTTCCCCATGACAACCCTTCTGGGACTCAAATACATCCTTCACTTACTTTCTTGGTCTTCTATACTTTTTTAGGCTGATAATTCCCACTTTTAAAAAAATACTTCTAATATAAGACTTTTCAAACCACAGTTTCCTATAACTACTCTCTCAATGGAGCTGTCATCTAAGATTTTATCTGACAATTTGGGGAAACTTGGCATGTTCAACCTGTGCCATTCAGAGTATACAGTACAAGTTCTTTGATTTTTCTCTCAACTTACCTCCTGTGGATCTCAAGGGGATGGGATGGAGGAAGTGCTCTTTCCAGTGTCCCAGGATTTGTTTAATAAACCTTACTTGCCCGTTTCCTTGAACAATGTTAGATGCTCCTTCTTCCTTCTGACTGGTGTGGTGTCAGCACAGGCAGGATGATGAGGGCTGAACAGCTCGTATGTGACCCCTTGAAAGAATCCCAGAGCAAAGGAAATCCAGCTTTGAAGATAAAGCCTTTCATCCTTCGATAGCTATGTTCCTATACACCTGCTTCATGTTCTCTCAGGCTTCTTGCCTGACCCAGTCCCTGTATTTGAAGCAGTTCTAACACCTAACCTCTTTTGACCCAATGATAATGATAATGGTGAATGTGATGATCATAATAATAGCTAACATTCATTAAGCACTTACTATGTGCCAGACATGGTACTAAGTGCTTAGTTTTATTAATTCTTTTAAACCGTTCACCAATCCTGTGATGTAGGTGCTATATCTGCATTTTGAAGACCAGAGAACTGAGCCTCAGAGAGGTTAAGTAACCAGTAGACACATATAATCAGTTCTTTTCTTTCCAATTGCACGTGATAATTAATAGTCATAATGATGGCCCAGAGCCTCTTCAAGATTCTTAAAGCATTCTCCAAATCTTCACAGCAAGATGAAAGCATGTCCAATGTAGTTGTAGTGTTAAACACCTCTTTAGGATATCATAATTACTTGAAATGCCTTTTCATTCTAATCCTTTGAAAATTATAATTGGCATATGATAGATGGAGTGACTATATTAACTAGTTTACTTAATTGAGCGCATTTACTCCCCATCATTGTACTCAAATGCCTTTTCAACATTGTGTTACCTCCTACAGTGGATATAGAGAGGAGACAGATTCTGTTCTCAACTAATCCTCTCACCAGCCATATAACCTTAAGCCACTATTCCCCTCTTTGGGCCTCAGTTTCCCTATCTGAACAATATGAGGGGTTTGTTTTACCTCCTACAGTGGATATAGAGAGGAGACAGATTCTATTCTCAACCAATCCTCTAACTGGCCATATAACCTTAAGCCACTATTCCCATCTCTGGGCCTCAGTTTCCCTATCTGTACAATATGAAGGGTTTGGTCTTCTCTCCAAAATCTTTGCTCCTGTATAGGTCAAAAGTCAGCAAACTATGGTCCCTGTGTCAAATCCAGCCATCACCTGATTTTATATGGCTCATGAGCTAAGAATGATTTTTTACATTTTTTAATTGTTGGGAAAAAAATCAAAAGAATGATATTTTATAATATGTGGAACTATATGACATTAAATTACCATGCCCAAAAATATTGGGAAAGCCATGCTCTTCCAATTACTATATGCTAAATAGTAATAGTAAATTACTATTTTCTATATATGGCTACTTTCATGCTGCAATGGCAGAGCTGACTAGTTGTGACAAGAACTATATGGTTTGCAAAGCCTAAAATATTTATAATCTGGCCCTTTACATAAAAAGTTTGCTGACCCCTTGCATAGATGTGGAATAGGGGGACACTAATAGGCTTCAGATAAACTAGACACTTTGGAAGCATCTAAAGACCCTTAGGAGGTTAGTGTCAAGGAGAGGAACCTAGCGCAGTCCCACAAATATTCGTTCAAGAAAGACAGCTACATTTGAAGGCCCCTGCTCTGGCAGGGTGACATATTCTGGCTATTAACTGTGCCAGCCACAGTCTGAGGTTCATTGTCCCTCTTTGTCTGGAGCAATCTTGACACACCATCCTAAAGCTAAAGTCATATGTTTCTCCACTGGTGGAGCAGTAGAACACATTTGTGAAGAAGACAGATTTTATAGTTGGACCACAGTTTGAATTCTTGCTTGCTGTGTGATCTCAGGGAAATTTCCAAAGGTCTCTTAACCATAGCTCCTTAACAGAAAATTAGGATGGATACTCACTCACTCATTTATGCAAATAAGTATTGGGTGTCTACTGTGCACATTTACCTCTTGGAATTGTTTAAGTAATTAAAGGATTATGTATATAAAGCATTTAACAGAATGCCTGACTCAGGAATAGAGCTTGGAAAATGTTTAAAATACATCTCAAACAATTATTATTCTTTTGTTTTTAAATTACAGTAACCTCAAAACTCTTAAAAAGCTGTTTGAATAAAGTTATATAATGCATACAAAGGGGCATTTTTAGCCATTATTGTCATTTTTGTTCTTATAAGCAATGCTTCTGAAGCCGTTTTCAGTGGAGCACTTAACAGCACCAGTGTGCTTTAATTTCAGGCCAGGAGATAAAAAATTAAGCAGGGCTCTCTTAAAAGACCATAACAAAGCTTCAACAAATGCAACAACTTCTCTCCCCTGTCTTGCCACTGCTACTCTGTCCCCCACTTTCCAGTGACTAATGGATGATATCTAAGATACATTAGAGCTATCTGAGGATCGATTTTTATTTTTTAATAGTATTAAAAATACAATATATTCACATGATAAAACAGATATTACAGAAGGGTATAAAGTAAAAGATAAATGCCCATTCTTTCCAATTCTATACTTCATAGAAGTAACTATTTTAAACCCTTTTCCTGCATTTGGTTATTTAATGGTTTCCTTTACACTTCTACATCATATATTTATGTTTCTTTTTCTTGCTTTATCAACTTTAACTCCATATCTGACTTCCCATTAGAAAGATGACAAATCAGCTCATATTACACCCCCAACATCCCCTTCTCAATGTTTGTTAGCCTATATGCTATTATTTGGAATTCTTCTGATGATTACCTTGTATTTTTTACATAGTGAACCTTGATTTTTGATTCACCAGCATTAGAGCTTTGTCAAAATACAGATATCCAGTTTCCTCTTTAGGGCTACTGAATGATAATCCTTGGGGATGGTTATTTTGCAAAAGTGCCTCAAGGTATTCTGATACGTCCCTCAGAACCACTTTCTGAGAGCTTACAGTTTATTGGTCAATTTCTTTGCATTTAATAATGACAGTAGACACAGCATTCTTTCTCACCGATTTATTAGTCACACATGGGGCAATGTGAAATGCTACATAGGTGCAGAAGAAGCAGACAAGAACACAGTGACCTAATAGCCCTAGGAACTCACTCATCACCAAGCTTCACTTTAGGTGAGAAACAGTCACTCAAAGAGAAGCATCTGGTACCAGTGCTGGGAGGTCAGTGGAAGGAGAGTGGGTTTAGACCTGCATTCTTGTGCTGAATAGCTGGAAAAACACTTGACTAACCTGAAAAACAAGTACTCTGTAGATTAATTTCATTTTTTTTTTTGTCAGTAGTAACAGTATATAGAGCAATGGTCCCAGCATTTGGGAACATGTTGTAAATAGGCAAAGTGGCTCAAAGAGAGTAGTAATCAAACTTCGTAGTTAAAATTTTTAATAGAATATAATTAGCAATGTAGTATTTTTATATAATACTATATAATTAATAGCACAAATAAAGCAGATAAAGAAAAATGTTCTAATTACCAAATATTACCCTCTAAGGTTTTTTTTAATAAAATGGCAAAGAAAATTAGAAAATTATTTAATTAAACCTTATTTAATGAGAGTTCCCCGGGGAACAGAATGAGTGAATTGAATTTTCCCATAAACCAGTGGGCAAAGAGTTAACACCTTTATTTCCCCCTTCTTAGTCAAGAACACAGTTGTGCAGGTTCATTTTCTTGAATTATGGAGAAATTTAGTCTAGTAACTATAATAGAGTCATTTCTTAGTGATTAAAAGCATTGTAGAGATGCAAGATTATTATTCCCAGCATGAAATCTGAAATAGGAGGGAAGATGTCAGCTATTAGATGAGAATATAGTTCATGACCACAAGTTATTTCCTAATTTTGTTTCTTTTACTTAACATCATAGCTATGAGCTTGTTTTATCATTCTCTGTCCATTTTTTCTTAGGAGGGGATGGGGGTTCAGTTGGGGAGTCTTATTAGTTTGATCATAAGTAATTAAGGTTTGGCTGCACTAACCTTGTTGTCAGACATTCTGGTGACAAGATTGAGTGGCATTTATGTTGAGCAGTTGAGGAAACTCGGCCATTTCCTTTGGCCTCCATTATGTCTGAGATGGAAGCAGTCAGTATGAAATGCCCAGGACCTTGTTACAGATTTTCAAGAGACAGAATTTGACTGCAGGAGATACTTTCCATTTCAATCTCCCAGTAGTTACTTTATGAACATGTTCTTTTTAAAGTCTCTAAGAACTATGAGAAATCTTTCAACTGTGCTCTAGCTTTTAACCAGTGCTGGGGTAAGTGCTCTCTTAGATGGTATAACGTCTTGGAATGCATATTGGGTACAGGAACCTAGTTCTGATTTCACCTTTACTAATGGCTTGCTAGAACCATTGTGCAAATCAGCTACATCTGTGAAACTGTAAACTGTGGCTGTGGAACACGTTAAACTCAAAAGGTATTTTCAACCTGAATTTCTCTTTTCAACCAATTACAATCACCCACTGGTATTTGCTGCCTGCTGGTCATATTTCTCCTGGATAATTGGCTTTCTTTCTTGAGGAAAGTCTCTGGCTTTTATTTGTTCACTCAACAAATATATACTGTGCACCTACTCTGTGCCAAGCATTGCTCTAGGAGCAGGTTCTAGGACACATCAGTGACCAAGACAAAAAAGGTTCCTGCTCTTAGGAAACTGACATTTCAATAGGAGGAAAGAGGCTATGGGAACACATGAGTAAACAAGATAATCTCAAATGGTGATAAAAACTCTGGAGAAGCTCTAACAGGGCACTGAGATAGAGCAGACTGGATAGGGTGCTGGGGGTAACTCTACTATGTTCTTCCAGAAGCAGTTCCCTGAAACAAGGATTCAAGTACAAGGGGCTTCTTGGGTGCCAATCCTAAAAAACCAGGGAAGGGAGGCAGAGAAGGGAAGTCTGCCTACAAAGTTTCATAAACAAGATGCCTACACTGCAGGCTACTGAAGGAGAACAGTCCCTGAGGGGATCCCAACATGTCAGTGTAGAACTCACCTCAGGGTCATGCCATGCAGGGGAGAGGATTCTGGGGCACTTATCTACTGACTCTTCATCTGTCATTGATTGAAAGCTGCTTCTGGGCATATTAACTCCTTAACATGTCTAACTTAGCCTGCAGGTAGGCGGAGTAGCCAGGTGTTTGCAGTTGGTACGTAAAGTAGAATACCCATGTAGAAAGGGGAGTGGAAGCGAACAGGATGCTGAGATTGTCTACAACAGGGCAAGAACTAGTTCTTTAGATAAGAAGTCAGGAAACACCTCTCTGAGAGATGGCAGTCTAGCTGAGATCCAAAAAATGGAAAGGAGCCAGACAGGGAAATCACATTTCCAGGCAGAGAGAATATCAAGGACAAAAGCTCTGAGTGTGACTAAGCTTGCTTTGTTTATAAAAATAGAAACAATAAAAAATCGCAGAACTTTAGAGGCATAGGGGTGGGGGAGGGTTGTTTTTGAATCATAAAGTCTATTCTTTTAGATAGAAAAATCAGAGAAAGCCAATGAGAAATTCAGAAACATAGACGGTATCCTAGGATCCCAAGAGGGAGCTGGGACCGCTGCTCTAATTCCTTGGCTCCCAGTTCAGAACTTCTCCATCGACCATGGATCCCCTGCTCATTTTCCCATTTCATTCATTGGAATTTGGTGGTTTCCCCCAAGCCATGGAGCTGAAAGGGAATTGCCTGTATGATCCCACTCAAATTCCTTGGGCAGTTTTCCAAGATACGATCAATGGCATATGAGTGGAAGATCTGCATGTGACTTCTGAAAAAAGTTCTTCATGAAGAAGTTGTGCATTCCATTTTTTTTCTTCCTGCTGGGCAGGCCCCCAATTATACCTAAAAGAAACCCAAGTTAACACAAGGCTCTATGTGACCAGCTTTGGGCTGCCAATTTGACCTCCTTTCCCACCCTTTCTCTTCAAACTCACTGTGCCACAATCACACCAGCCTCCTTACTGTTTCTTGAATATGCCAATCATCCTCTCACCTCTGGGCCTTTGCTCAGAATGCTCTTCTCCAAATATCCCCATAGCTCAGACACAGGCATCACTTCACTCAGGTCCCTAAGCCAAGACCACCTCCTTGCGGAGGCTCATCCTCATCACTCCTTCCAAAGCATGACACTGCCCCTCCCCATCCTCTTACCTCACTTTATCCTTCATGGGGCTCATTGCTACCGCAGAGTATACTATCCCAGATTATACTATACTATGCTGCATATTTACTTGTTCATTTATTGTCTGTCTTCCCCACTAGAATATAAGCTCCATAAGGGAAGAAACTTGCTTTATTCACTATTAGAATAGTGCACTATGACTTTTCAAAAATGTTTGTTGAAATGATTAATCAGTGAATAAGTGAGTGAGTGACTGAGTGAACCAATGCCTAACAGAGGCCCTTAGTTCTGGTGCTCTCTCTGTTACTAACTCCCTAAATGACGCCTCTGCAAGTTGATTCTTCTACTCTGCCTCAGTTTCTTTATCTGGCAAATAGACATATAATGTTTACCTTAAAAAAGGATAAACTGAAATGAGGCCATAGATATGAAAGTACTGCACATTATTGAATATATTATACAAATGTAAGATTTCCTTTTACAGTCGAAGCCTTCTTGAGTTTTAGTAAACTTCACCAAATGGGGTGGAAAGTGTCATTATAATAAACAATCCTTCATGGTTGCTGGAATTGATCAGGCCTCATGGAGTGGTGAAAATTTACCCTGTTGTATGGAAAAGAGCACAGGGTGAGGATGGAGACTGGGATCAGAACTCGGCCTCTTCCACAGACTTGCTGGTGTCCTTGGGTAACTCATAGGAGCTTGCCCAGTGAAATTCAGATTCCTCTTCTCTCAAAATGGTTGGGTATTGGGATGGTAGACGAGATTATTCCCTCCTTAGAGGTTTCTACCTTGTACTATATATCTGCATCATCATAATAATCACAGCCACTATTTATTGATCACTTGGTCTGCCCCATGCACTTGACATGTGTCGTTGCATTGTATGTTTACCCCAACAACCAGACCTCCATTATTCAGACAAGAAAACTGTCAAGTAACTTAGTTAATAGTGGTATAACTACTGGCTTATGCATAGCAGCGCCAGCACTCCAAACTAGGCATACTGGCTCCTGAGCTGTGCTAATTTTGTGCACAAACTAAGTAATAATCAAGTTCAAAGGAAAGGAGGCCTAACTGTCTCTCCATTGAGTAGGTTTCATCTGGTGGAACTGAATGGAAAATCCTGTGGTTTTGGAACAGGTTAAGTTGATTTATCCAGGCAGCATGTTCTAACTTCTCCCTCCTCCCCCTCTCACAGGGCTTCATGGACATTGACTTAAACAAATTCAAGGAGAGTGGCGCCAATGTGACAGGTTTCCAGCTGGTGAACTACACAGACACTATTCCGGCCAAGATCATGCAGCAGTGGAAGAATAGTGATGCTCGAGACCACACACGGGTGGACTGGAAGAGACCCAAGGTGAGTGGATGGGCAGCCAGCAGCAAAGGGCCAGCCTGGTCCCTTTGCCTGCCCCAGATTTCTGAGCTGCATTAGTCTTTACAAAGGAATCAGTTTTCTAAAGCGAACAAATTCAGGGAAATATATTTGTAAAGATTATTAGGTACAAGGTGCAGGGGTCAGACAACCCAAAATGACATGGTTTTAAGGAGGGAGACATTTTATTTATCTCTCCTGTGAACAAAACTTAGGAGTCAGCAGTCCCAGACTTGTAAAATGGCTCCACAGTTATCAAATACCCAGGCTTCTTGTACCTTCTTGCTCTGCTGTCATCCACATACGGCTGCTGCCTAATAGTACAAGAGGGCTGCTTAAACTACAGCCATTGCCTCAGCATTCTACCCAGTAGGAAGAAAAAAAAACATGCAATGCACAACTTCTTCATGAAGAACTGTTTTCAGAAGTCACAAGCAGATCTTCCATTCATATGCTATTGATCGTATCTTGGAAAACTACCCCCAGTTGGCTGCAAGGGAAGCTGGAAAATGGTGGTTCTATTCTGGGCAGAGCCACCATGTTGCCCAGCTCAGGAGGATGCTCATTTCATTGTAGATTGAGCTTCTTTGTGTAGTGAGGTGGCCCTTATTCTGCTCAGCCATGTGCCCAGCTAAAAATCAGGGCAACCTAACTAAGGAATATCCAGCAGATCTCTACCTGGGAGAGTCCACTCTCAGTAATCAGGCAGACTCTCTGCTTCTCACTTCCCAGCAACACAGCTCTAAATACTGCCACCAAAATCTATTTTGTTTGTTATTTGAGAATGCTTGGGAATAAGGATAGCGAATGATTCTTTTTCTGAAGTCAAACCAGATAGATTGACAGTGGCCATATGGAACCCTGTGTTGAGAAGGATACTAAGGCCAAGTTTGTTTATCTGGACAAACAGTGAATCTTTGACAGACTTTCTCTTGCCACTCAATCCATTTCTTTTTATAAATGGCAAACCGTATAACAGAGATACTTCTTATCCCACTATTCAAACTGATTTAACTCTTCAATAATGAAGACTTATTTCAATATGATCTTAAGCAAACAAAATCGCAAATATGCTTTCAAGCAATGAGAAAACTACATAGGAATTAATTAAGTAATGTGTAATGATTGCACTCCAATTTCCAAAAGACTGAGCAGATGACAAAAATAACCAAATGTAATTTAATTTTTTTTTTTTTTTGAGATGGAGTCTGGCTCTGTTGCCCAGGCTGGAGTGCAGTGGCATGATCTCGGCTCACTGCAAGCTCCACCTCCCGAGTTCACGCCATTCTCCTGCCTCAGCCTCCCAAGTAGCTGGGACTACAGGCACCCGCCACCACGCCTGGCTAATTTTTTGTATTTTTTAGTAGAGATGGGGTTTCACCGTGTTAGCCAGGATGGTCTTGATCTCCTGACCTTGTGATCCACCCATCTCAGCCTCCCAAAGTGCTGGGATTACAGGCGTGAGCCACTGCGCCCGGCATGTAATTTAATTTTTTAAAAAAGAAGTGAGAGAATTAAATTTAAAAAATTAGAAAAATACCCATTCATTCGTTCTTCAATTCTCTATTGTGAACTTGGAGTGTGCTAGGCAACATAATAAGTATTAGGAACAAATTAGTGAAGAAAACAGACATAGGTTCCAAAGCCAGGATATATTTTCCTGGACTGCTCTCCTGATTTTGTTTCATCCACATCCTAGTCCCCTTTTTGTCAGGAGAGGGTATAATTGATAGTTGTTGTGAGAAAGAATGAGGGGAAAGTTTACAGGATATAAACTTACCACTTAGGTAAGCCATATGTGGAAAAAATTAAGAGCTCACCCTTCTTTCATTTTCTTTTTGCTTTTACTTTTACAAGAGATGAAAGAGTTAATCGTTCCTCTTGGTTTCCAGCTGATGACTGTAATGCCGGGATAAACCAGCTGATTTTTCATGAACTGTATCCAGCCTGCAGATGTGTTATATGTAATCTATGCATTTTTTCCCAAATGAACCAACATTTTAAAAATTGCAAGATTGCACACAGAAACCTAGAATCCTGGCTTCTCTTCAAAAATTATAACTGGCAGTACTGAACTCACAGTTCAAGGAGGTCAGCATTGACTAGCATGGTCGAGCAGCAGCACCCATCTGCTTGAATATTTATGCTTCTCAGGGACACCATCCCTGATTCACCACTGTCTGCCCCACGTATACCATGCATCTGGCCCACTGCACACCCTTCTCATCACCAGAAAACACATTCCCAAATACAGCACCCAAACCTGCCTTCCTGTCAGCTCTCTTTGATACCTAACTGTCTCCATTCCTCCCACTAGTACACCTCTGCGCTCACCTACGATGGGGTGAAGGTGATGGCTGAGGCTTTCCAGAGCCTGCGGAGGCAGAGAATTGATATATCTCGCCGGGGGAATGCTGGGGATTGTCTGGCTAACCCAGCTGTTCCCTGGGGCCAAGGGATCGACATCCAGAGAGCTCTGCAGCAGGTAAGACCACCAATGTTTGCCCCATCTCATAGGAGCCTACTGGGGGATTTCAGCATCAAATTCCAATAAAACACAGCTATTCTAAAGAAAAGGAAGAAAATGCCTGAAGTTCAGAACAACCACTGCATTGTTGGTGTTGGTGGTTCTTAGCATACATTGAAGCTCATATAAAAAAAAAATGATATGGAACAGTCATTTCTTGTAGTGTAAAAGCTGTATTTTCTCCTTAGCAATTTTGCTGAAAAAGGAGAGCTGGTGATTTTCTGTGTATGGGAAAGGGACTTGAAATACACAAGGATGAAACTGAACCATGTTAATGGTCTCCTGGAAACACTCCCCTCTTGCCCTGATTTTCTGGATTTCTTCCTTTGCTCTCTGCACACATTGTATGAGAGCCTGGGGTATGTGGACCCTAAAAATGTTTCTCAGTACTTCTGATACTACCTTCTTGCTTCTCAGCATTTCATTCATCAATTATGTTTGCACTTAAGAATAGTTAAAGGGCAGGGATAGAAAATGGCCACGCCAACTCCAATCAATTGGCTATACAAAAGCTTCTGAGGCTGAATCCAGATACAACAGAGAGAAGCATAAATATTCAATTAGTGATATGTCTGCTGTGGAAGCAGCATGAGACAGTGGTACATGTGGGTGTATATTTAACATGCCTGGTTTAGAAGATTTTGGGGACTTGCCCTCAGCTTTATTGCTCTTGGGGCTCCTGTAGATCTCTAAAGCACCTCAAGCCCAGGCTATGATTCTCAAACTGCCAAGGAATAGCACTATATTTTTGTTCTGATGCCTCCTGCTAGAGAAGCTGTATTTCCGAAGGGACAGGGAGAGGATGGCCGTGCTTGCTGCAAAGGAATAACAAAGCATTGGCCACAATGACAAACCAGCACAGCAAGATTATTTGGCACAAATGTCCCTCAGGACCCACCCTCCCCAACAAATGGAGTTGCCTGCCTAAGACCAGCTTTACTTTTAAGACGACATTCAGCAGAAGATGAATTTGGGCTCCTTGGGGAGAAGAGGAGCATTTCTGAATGAGAGAGAAATGTACAGCAAAATGTACAACTATTCCCACTTGTTTGCCAACCACACGTGCACAGCTCTAGCAACTTTCACAACCAGGAGAAAGAGATGCTGAAGGAACCTCACCAGCTGTTCCTCAGCCCTGATGAGTGCCTTTCTGTAGAGAAGAATATGTAGGTCTGTCCTTTGAAATGAAGCTAAGCAGGATTTCTACTAGCTACATGAGGAACATGCTAAGGAGGACCTCCAGCTGCCATTTCTGCCCTCCCCTGGTCCCTGTGCAGGGTGGCTCCCAAGTCACTAGGCAGCAACAACAGACACCAGGCAGCTTGCAGGGGAAAATTGCCAAATGGACAGTGCCTGCGCCTCCCTTTCTACCCCCACCTCAGCTTATTTAAAATGCTCTTCCAGACTCCACAGTCGAGACAGATTCTGTTTGCAATGTGAGGCTGGTTTCAAAAGGTCCCAGAGATTTGTCCTCAGCTTCACAACCCTTCCAACTCCCTTGCCTCTCCCATCTTAATGACGTCCTGAAAGGATAGTCTGATGCCACCATGACAGTGATGAAGCCTGGGAGGCAGTTCAGGGTGGCAGGAAGGACTCTGTACTGGGAGGCAGGAGAGCTGGACTCCACGTCCAGCTGGGCCCCTGGCTCTCTGGATGACCTTGAAACATTCACTTAGCTCTCCTGCTGCCTTCCCTTTCCTTCCCCATGAAAATGAAGGGGGTGGAGAGAGGACCTCAAGTCTCAACTGGCTCTGAAAATTCAAACAGTCTAATTTTTTTTCTTATGGTCTAACCCATGTCCTTCTGGTTGTAGTGTATACTTAGCACACTGCTTCTGCCCTCAGTAGGGTTTGAAAGGAAGCAGTTTCCATAGTCAAAAGAACAATGACCTCTTTTATTTTGTCTTGGAGCCAAGATATGTGTGTGCCTGCCCTTCATCAGCTGTTCTTTGAGGATCTATGGTGTGCCCTGGCTTGGAGCCAAGCACTGAGGACAATAAAAGAAAGCAAGGCCTGCGCTCAAGGAACTCCTGGCAGTGTCTATGGAGAAAAAGAGAGGAACAACTATCCCAAATAAATAAATAAATAAACAAACAAACAAATAAACCAGAACATTCTGACCTTAAGATCAGAGGTTCAAATCGATTCATTTTCCAATCTTTGTTAAGCACCTAGAATGAAAAAGATTTTGTTGAAAGACACCTTAGAGATTACTGACTCTTCTTTTCCCTCACTTTATAATGAAACAGCAAATCCAGAGTGGGCAGTGACTCACCCAGGGTCACACAGCAGCTTAGTGGCGGAGGCTGGACCAGATCCCAGTCCAGGGCTCCTCTTCCCCCAGTTAGGTCTGTGCTATGGGCCCAGGGGCCCTTGCTTATAAGCATTGACCTCTGGAGCCTTCCATCCATAGTCAGGACTACTCTTCAGCAATGGCTTTTTCTAGACCCATCTCTTGAAATAGCCATGCCACCAGGGAGCTGGGTAAATCCTGATGGTATCCAGTCTTAGAAACCTGAGGCTTGGAGGCTCAGGTCTCTACTGCCTTCACCTCTGGCCTTCAGGTCACATAGTGGGAGAGAACCTGTGGTTTAGCTTGTGTTAGACCTGGGTTGTCTATAAGTTAGGCCAAGAGGTCCAGCACAGCCTACCTGGAGGGCAAGCATGCTAGGGAGTTAAATTCTGAAAATAATATGTATGGTGTGTTAAAGGCTTAGTATACACAAAGCTCTAAACATTTACACATATTATATCATTGGATCTTTGATATAACACCTTGAGGTAGGTAGTTTTATTAACCGTGGTTTGTAAATGGAGAAGCCGAGCTTCAGACAGGTTATAAAACTTCCCAAAGTTATACAGCTAGCTAGTGGTAAAGTTGGGACTCCAAACCACATTTAGATGATGCCTCCCTCTGTATGCTTCACTGCTCTGAAACCTCAAGGGCACGGCCAAACAGGGAAGACACAAGAGCTATGGCCCAGCCCCCAGCAGCACATGGCCTTGGGTAATATCTGTGCACCCCCTCCCCCTTCACTCCGCTGTAATTTCCCTAGCAGCAGAATGAAGATAATCAGCTGCCTGCCTGCCCCCTGCTTGCCATCTAGGGAGTCATTCAGAATATTAATGAACCCACATCCTGGAGGCCCTCAGCACTCCAGGAAGGATGCTCATATGTCGCCTTCTGGACGGTGGAGAAGACTCAACTCCCCAAGTCGGGTTCTTAACATAGGGGAGGTAATAGGCATTTGAGAATATGATTTTTTAAAAGAAATCTGTAGATTCTTTTGCTTAGAAAAATGCATATGTGTACATACATAATTTCTGCATGACCAGGAGTAGAGAGAACATACATACTCCTAGAATCCATCCCAGGGCCTCAAATTTAGAATACCTCCCCTAAATAGTAATCATCCCTCTTGGTCTTTGTTTTTGCAACCTGCCAGCCAACAATCAAGCATATGGAAGTGAAGGTATGCTCAGAACTTTGCTAGATGGGGTCTGGGGTTGGGTGGGCAATGGAGTTTAAGACGCAGTCCTGCCTTTAAGGGCTAACACAGGTGGGCTTATGGTGCTGTGGATGATCAGAGCAGAATGCCATCACTGAGGAATGCAGACATCAGCAAGGCTTTCTGTAGGAATGTGACTGGCCTTTCAATAGGATGACCACTTTATTATCCAAAATCTATCATCCAAACGGGAACACTTAGGAGTGAAAGGAAAAACTACTATCAATTATTCCAGAACAAGAGTACCAGAACTCTCCTGCGTTAGTCCATGTGCATTGTTATAAAGAAATACCTGAAACTGGATAATGTATAAAGAAAAAGGTTTCATTTTAGCTAATAGTTTTGTAGGCTGCACACGAAGTACACTGCCAGCATCTATTTTTGGTGAGGGCCTCAGGAAGCTTCCAATCATGGCAGAGTGTAAAGGAAGAGACAGTATGTCACGTAGTAAGAGAAGGAGCGTGATAGATAAGGGAGGAAGTGACAGGCTCTTTTACACAACCAGCTCTCATGAGAACTGAGTAAGAACTTATTCATTACCATGGGGAGGGCGCCAAGCCATTCAGGAAAGTTCCGCCGCCATGATGCAAAAACCTCCCACCAGGCACCACCTCCAACGTCCAGGGTCATATTTTAACATGAGACTTGGAAGGGACAAATATCCAAACTATATCACGTCCCAGGCAAACTGAGATGGGTGGTAATGGAACCGTTAAATGTATGGTAAATTTGAACATGGAGTAAATTGGGTTTTGGAGGTTCTGGATGGGGATGTCAATGATACCCAGCAAGAGACGAGGTAGGGTGAGGGTACAAGAAAGGACTTGCACATGTCACATTGGCCTGTTAAGGAATTAGGGATAGAAGAGCTGGGTTCCAACCGTGGCTCCACGCAGAACTATCTGGGGGATCTTGGACTAATTGCTTGCCTTTTCCAGATCTGGATTTTTCCTGTCTGCTAAACAGACATAATCCTCCTAGTGCTGCCTCCCTGACTGGCTTGTCACAGGGCTCAGAATTTTAAGAAAGCATCGTGCTTGTGGGCCAAGCATCGTGGTTCATACCTGTAATCCCAGCACTTTGGGAGGCTGAGGTGGGCAGATCACGAGGTAAGGAGTTTGAGACCAACCTGGCCAACATAGTGAAACCCTGTCTCTACTAAAAATACAAAAAGTTAGCGGGATGTGTAGCAGGCACCTGTAATTCCAGCTACCTGGGAGGCTGAGACAGGAGAATCACTTGAACGCAGGAGGCAGAGGTTACAGTGAGCCGAGGTTGTGCCACTGCATACCACACCAGCCTGGGTGACAGTGTGAGACTATGTCAAAAAAAAAAAAAAGCATCATGCATGTGTTTCTTTGAACTTCAGGGAAGCTGCATGAGACAGTCAGAGCCAAGATTATTCTTCCCATGACTCAGGTAGGAAAGTGAAGCTTAGGAGGGTTCTGAGATTTGCTCTGGCCAGAGTACCTAGAATGTGACCCAGCAAGGACCTAGTCTACAGGCCTCACAGCCAGTGAGCATCCAGGAGGAAGGATCCACCTGAGGGCAACTGCAAAGGGGATACAGGAGCCCTGCGTCCAGTTTGACTGCTCGGCTGTCTCCTTCAGGACTGCCTTTCAGGATCCAATGAGGGCAGGGGAGAGCAGTCACTGTTGACACCTGACAAAGATTCTTTGCTTGACCAAACTTTAGTCAGGCTTCTGAACCTTCTCCTAGGCCCATCTGTGCAATTCTTGTGAAATCCAGTTTTGGCAAAGAACTTGCTAAGTCGGTTTAGCAAGAACCCTGTCCACCACGTCCACCCTCTTTGCCATGATCATCTTCTTCAGCCCCCACCATCCCCCAGATTATGTCGGATCATCCTCGTCCATCTTCAGCAAGAATCCTCTTAGGCCATTTTAGCCAGAATTCCTCTTAACCCCGATGCTTGCTGTTAGCAATTTCCTATCCACTGACCCCCACCCTGCTCCTTGGCTATATATTCCCACGGGCCCATGCTCTATTCAGAGTTGAGCCCAATCTCTCTCCACCTCTGCAAGACCCATTGCAGGGGTCTCTATACCTATTGCTACGATTCTGAATAAAGTCTTCTTCACTGTGCTTTAACAAGTGTGCTGATTAATTTTTTCTTTAACACAGCTGAAGTAATAGAGACATTAACCCGCATTCTCTCAGCACCAAGCAGGAAAGGAAATATATGCTTCAGCCTCCCATCAGCAGCAGACTCTGAGCTGGCACCCAGTACCCTTTACAGGAAGCCCAAGGTTAATTCTCCATCTTTCATGGAGGGAGTTGAGGGCGCCAGGATGGCGACAGAAGTTCCGGGAGCAGGAACCAAGAAGAAGTGCCTGGGCTCCATCAATCTGACCTCAGACACCCTGGGATGGGGGGAGAGAGGGATAAGTGCCCAGATCCCAGAGCTCAGACCTGATGGATGGGGACAGTGGTTTCAAGATACACATTTCTGAGAAGCTTCTTCCTCTGTCTCTGAGTCCTGACTCTCCTTGATAAATGGTTTGGGGCTGAGCCATTCTCTTGAACTCTCCTTGCTCTGCCATCATGGAATGGTGTTTCTGGGATGTCTCTTTCGCATTCTCTGATACTTTGTTTTATCTCAGTGCAAGTAAGACTTGGCTTCCCCAACTAGATACTAAGAGCCTTCAGTTACCCTTGACCTCTCAATGACTTACTGTGAATCCTGGAGTCAAGCGCCATCAGCTCTGAGTCTCAATAATCTCATCTGTGAAACAGGCAAAATAACGTCTGCTCTGGCTACTCACTGGGTTTCTGTGAACATGAAATAAGCAGCTTCTTGTGAGATCACCGTGACAGTGCAAGGGGTCCTTGGGTCACTAGAACTGTGCAGGTAGGACCCTTGACCTTATTGGAAACTGAGGAAGGCAGTAAAAGTGTCAGTGACATGATCCTTCTTTCTTCTGAAAGAGTCCCCTTGTCTTAGACAACCTACCAGCCCCAAGGCCTCAATTTTAGATTTTATTTTTCATAACTTTTACCCACTCTACACAGCACAGTAGTAGTAGTCGTCATTATCATCATTATTATCATCTAAATAATATAAACTATGCATTGAAAACTTATGTCCCAGACAATGTGCTAAGTACTTCTTGGAGGAGGAAACTAAGAAGCAGATAGTTTGAGCAAGGAACCTATGGTCATACAGTTAGAATGAGCAGAGCACAACCTGGGAAATGCCCAGCAGCAATAGCAGAAAGCAGGTAGAAAACACTACATTGCACATTTTTGTGTTGTCCTCCTGAAGCCTAGCACAATAGCACTGGCCTGTGTTTCGGCGAACACTTGGTACCTTAAGTGAAGATACCAGAAGTTACCAGAAGCTCCAGATTTTAGACCTGCCTCTGCCACTGGTTAGTCATAAGACTTGAGCAGATCACTTTACTTCCCAGAATTTGGCATCTCCCATGTAAATAAAGATCATAATCTCTAAATGGCATACTTCAGGGGGTTCCTGTGACTAGAGATGAAATAATATGTGTGCAAGTGTGTCATAAACATGAAGTTTTTAGAAAGTAATATTAGTATTAAGTATCACCATTAACAACAATAATAATAACAGCTGGCATTTTTTGAATACTCATCATGCACCAAGCATTGATCAAAAAATATCTCTTTTAATCCTTAGAACAACCTTAAGACATAGTTAACTCTAATTGGTTCCATTAAACAAATGAGAAACTTAGTCATAGAGAGATTATGTACTCTGCCATACTAATATGCCATGCTGATTATTAGTATGAAAATTGAGACTGGGGCTGAAAAGTAGATGCCTGTTTGGATAATTAATGACACTTTCAGTTTGGGCAAATCAGTCTACCAGTCTACCATCTGCACATCTATCCAAGTCTGTTTCTTTGGAATGAGTCACTTACATGGTACCCACCAAACTAACACTATCTTGAACTGGAAATAAGGGAACACTAAAGATTGGCAAGAGATTACTGAGGTGATAAGAAGGTGAAGTTGCTGATGGACTGGAATTGCTCCTTTCTTTTATTCTTTGTAGTAGAATCTGTACTTTGTTTTCTCTCTGAAAAGCAAAGATAGCCCAGACATTTATGGAGCTGGGGATTTCTCCTGATTTCATCTAAGAAAGTAAAGAGCATGTTGTAAAATTTGCTCAGTGCTCTGGGCCTGTTGTGACCTCCTCACTGAGACTTCAAACCAGAAGGTGACAAGAGGGTCAACCTCGAAACAGGAACACACACACATGCACACACACACGCATTCTCTCTCTCACTCTCAAACACACACAACCCCCAACTCTTCTTATACGTTCTAACAACAGAGGAGCTAGCCACTGTCAGAAAAAAATATAAAACTCTGCAAAGCTTCCTTTTAAGCCATTTGAAGGAGGGAAATAAACAGTGCTGGGTCACAGGGTTGGATTTGTATTTGTAACAAGTAGACACCTCACCTCACTGGCCTTAGGCAAGAGGGATCTGAGGACACATGGTGGATCACTATTAGGGAATGTGGTTGCTTGTACCTGAGCTGATGATACACAGCTAGACTCAGACTCAGTTTGAGAGTGGTCTTGGATGACATTTATCAGTCACCTACAGAGCAGCAAGCTCAACCTTAAATATCTTGGATCTCCATGGTCACCATTTGACTTTTGATATGAATTTGAAGATAGAAGGCCATGAAAGTTTGATTTTGCCCATTTGTGGAGAAGTCTCATGCGGCATATTTGAGGGTTCCAATACAATTTTATTTTAGCCAACTGAGATTTCTTTAACACCTTGCATTCTCTTATCTGAACACAATGGGTTCTCCCTAGGTGCTTTGAAGTTTTCACACCACTTTCACATTAGCAGTTATCATTTAAGATAAAAAAAGGGCAGAGATTTTTGGAAACTGAAGGCTTAGAGAGCTAAATTGCCTGAGGGCACTTGGCTATTAAGGATTAAGCTGGGGTTAAATCCAAGTCTTTCAATTGCCAAGTATTTTATTCCCTGGACTCAGGAATAAAGAAGAAATTCTTAAAGGAATTAAGAAGCCATCTCCAAGCATAGCTTAAGGCTTCATTCATAAAGCTGGCTTCTTGTCCTGGGTCTTCTGACTCATTAGTGATGGTGCACCATTTTCTTTCCTTTGCAGGCCCCCCATACTTTCTTCATCTTCAGATGTGTATCTGAGAAGGGCAGTGGTCATAGTGGTTGTGTGATGGGAGGTGTTTGGTTAGGGATGGTGCAGACATTTCACATTAGTATGCACTCTGACCCATTGTTAGTATTTGCCTAAAGAAATAGGTAAAAACAATTGTCAGGATGAATCCCAATTTAGGGAAAAGAGATCTGTAATGCATCCCTTGCCTGTGGCAAGGGAGTGAAGAGTTTTAGCATTCAGGATACTCCAAGACATCATTCCATGGAACACTCTTGGGTTCTGAATTTCTACTTCAGTGGAAAAAGCAAACACACATAAAGTACATCTGAGTTCACTGCCCACCACTTGGTTTTGTTTTCCAGGTGCGATTTGAAGGTTTAACAGGAAACGTGCAGTTTAATGAGAAAGGACGCCGGACCAACTACACGCTCCACGTGATTGAAATGAAACATGACGGCATCCGAAAGGTAAGGTCCCCCTTTACTTCTGTTCTGCAGAGAGAAGAGGCTGAGCAGGGACTCTGGCCAGAGCTGAGGGCCTGTGAGTCCACCTTTTCTGGACTGGATCTTTGAAGAAACTCAGACAACACAGATTCTAGACTTGGCTCTGCCACTAACCAGCTGGGACATTGGGCAAGTCTCGTTCTTCCTCTGAGAATCCATTCATTCATTTGCAAAATTAAGTTTAAAAAAATCTCTACATTTGTCCCAGGATGCTTGTGAAAATCCAAGGTAGAGGAAAGCACTTCTAAAACATAAAGTAATTGATGTGTATAAAATGCCACTCCCATTCCTGAGGGTTTCTAAACTAAGAACTTGAGAATGATGATTATTGATGAGGTTAACTATCTCTTCCTAATCGATAGTTGGTCATATCCACTCTATTATTTATACAAAAGTAAGGGTGAAAATATATATGTTTACATATATGTATAATGTATAATATGTTTGCATATGAAAATTCTTAGAATAGCATTCAAATCCTTGGAATAACATTTCGAATTCTACCAGAACCTATGTGCCCGGGCCTCTGCCGATTTCTTCACCCTTAACCCTTGATACTTCCTTCATCTCTCCACTCCAGTCATTCTGTTTGTCTTTCACCTCCCTGAATACACCATGTTCTTTCTCATCATTGAGCCTTCATACATGTTTCCTCTGCCTGGGACTTCCTCCCCCCATCTCCCTCCTCTTGCCTGCCAATCCCTCCTCAGCCTTCCACACTCAAAGTAAATGTCATTCCCCAACGAAGCCTTCTCTGGCCTTTCTTATTATGCTTCATGGAAGCCTCTACTTCTCTGCTCATGGCCTTCATCACATTGCTAATTCCATTTGGTGGCGTAGCATAATGACTGGGAGGCATTGTACAGCATGGCGTAGAGCTGGTAGGGTGCCATGGATCAGAATGCTGGCTCTGGAATCCTCAACACTGAATCCTGGCTTCACCACTTACTAGTCTGGGGTTCCGGATAATTTATTTGAGCTCTTTGTTCCTTAATTCTCTTATCTAGTAAGTGGGGATCACCTTAACCATGCCAACCTCATAGGGTCATTGAGAGGATTAAATGATCTAAGAGTGTGCAGAAGTTCTAAGTACTGGAACTGGCCCATTGAAAGTTGGGTCTTAATCTCTCAGACTTAATGCTCTCTATGCCTGTGCTGTCAGATAACCTTGCCACTAGCCGTATGTGGCTGTTTAGGTTGAATTTTAAATAAATTCCAATTTAAAAATCAGTTCTTCAGTTGCACTATCTACATGTCAAGTGCTCAGTAGCCACATGTGGCTAGTGGCTACCACATCAGGCAGCACAGATGTAGAACATTTACATCACTGCAGAAAGTTCTACTTTAAAGTTCTCTTTGTCCACTCTCCGTCCTCACCTCCCTTAAACCTGTCTTCTCTGCTCTTATGTCTAGAACCGCATCTTCTACCTCACAGCCAATCTTATCTCATTCATTAAGGCTATGTCAGTTGTCTATTGCTGCTGTACAAATTACCACAAACAGTGACTTAAAACAACACAGATTTATCATCTCACAATTCTGTAGGTCAGAAGTCTGACTTGAGTTTCACTGGACTAAAATCAAAGTGTTGGCAAGGTCATGTTTCTTCCTGGAGGCTCCAGAGTTAAGTTTGTTTCTTTGCCTTTTCCAGTTTCTTAAAGGCCACCTATATTCCTTGGCTCCCATGTTACCAAGCTTTCTCCATATTCAAAACCAGCAATGTTACCTCTCTCTGACCCTTCTTCTATCATCACATCTTCTCGCTAACCACAGCCTTCCAGAGCCCATCTCCCATCTCTGACTGGAAGATCTCCTCCTTCAGGAATCAGCTACAGTAACCTGCCTTGACTTACAGCAGGTACCAAATAAGGGCACCCTATTTGGCTATGAATGTAGCCACTGGGAACGTATCCACTTCTTCAGCAAACTTTTGGCATGTTGATTGTACACAGACACTCTTTCTGGGCTCAAAAACCCTTGAGAATGACATTTATCCAGAAATAGTCCAAGTCTGAGTTCATTTTTGTTGTCCCATGGTCTTCTGATTTTTGCTGCTGGAGAAGACATTTGCTAGGTCACTTAGCTCTTATAACTTTCAATTTCCACATCTGTAAAACGGGCACAGATCATGTCTGCATTAGCGCCTGATCACTGTTCAGTGAATGTTACCTGTGTTAGTGGTTATTAATAGCTATAGTAAATGTTGAAGAGTTAGCACACGGCTGAAATCTGGAAAACACTGAGGTGGCTTGTTTATTTCTTTCAAAGCATTTAGCAGCTACTGTTAAGAGTACTGCCTCTGGAAGGGACACCAAATATGTGACCATCTCCCCAAGGCCATCTTCCTTTCAGATTCTTTTTTTGTTTTTTTGGAGACAGAGCCTTGCTCTGTCGCTCAGACTGGAGTGCAATGGCATGGTCTCGGCTCACTGCAACCTCCACCTCCCGGATTCAAGTGATTCTCCTGCCTCAGCCTCCCGAGTGGTTGGGATTATAGGTGCCCATCACCACACCTGGCTAATTTTTGTATTTTGGGTAGACACGGGGTTTCTCACGACGTTGGCCAGACTGGTCTCAAACTCCTGACCGTGTGATCCATTCACCTCCGCCTCCCAAAGTGCTGAGATTACAGGTATGAGCCACCGCCCCCAGGCTTTTTTTTCTTTCTTTCTTTCTTTTTTGAGGCAGGGTCTCGCTCTCTTGCCCAGGCTGGAGTGCAGTGGTACTATCATAGCTCACTATAACCTCAAACTCCTGGGCTCAAGTGATCCACCCACCTCGGCCTCCCAAAGTGCTGGGATTACAAGCATGAGCCACTGTCCCCAGCCCCTTTCTTTCAGATTCTGAGAACTGCTGGTATCACCTCCTGCCTTGACAATGAAAACATAGATGCAGCATTTTTGTGTAAGGCCCAAGCAGGCAAGCCTATTGCTCCTAGATAGAAAATTGTTGACCATAGACCTGGGCTTTTCCTCAGAATCCTCAGAATGGCCTTTTGCTCTCAGGGAAAAAAGAATATTGCTATTTCCTGGATAGAACAAATTGGCATTTCTACATTGTATATGAGTAGTTATGTGTTTGCCATTATTAAAATATGGATGTCGAACTGTTTTCCCCAACTCTGGAGTAGTGGATTAGCTTAAAATATAGCCAGATTATTTTCTACACGTTAGTGGTCACTGGGTATATTGGGGTTATACTGAAGGTGCAACAAGTAAGAATAGAAGCCAGAGACTTCTATGCCATTTCTGCCATCATCCAGCTGTGTGGCCTTCAGCATGTCTCATAGTCTCTCTGGGTCTCTAAAATAAGTGAGAGACATTGGGCTGTGCAAACCTTAATTCCTCTCAGCTCTGACACCTTGGATGTCAGTGCCATCTGCTGCATTTTTACCATCCTCTCCCTACTCACATTGTTCCTCTCCTGGCTGGACTTCGGCTTCCTCTGTGAAAGTAGAATTTCCACTGGGGCCTTCATCAATTGACAAACTGTCCTTTGGTATGAAATTCCCCAGTTGTTACTCCCAGAACCAGAGGCCCCAGCCCTTTGAGTTGACCCTAACTATTGCCCAGAGACTGTTGGGAGGCTTTTTATCTCTTCAAGACTTGCTCTTCATCAAGAACTTCTCAGAAGTGGAGGCACTGTAGCAAGATTAATGGTTCTCAAGCCTCAGCAAATAGAAGAATTACTGGGAGGCCTTATTTAAAACGCAGATTCCTGGGTCCCAGCCCCTGGGTACTCTGCTTCTGGAGAACAGAGATGAAGCCTAGGAATCTGCACCTTCTTGAATCCTCCTCTCCAACCCACAGATTTTCTGGTTGGTGCGTAAAGAGTTTGATAAGAATCACTGGCAACTACTAAGGAAAGAAGATGGAAGTAAAAGGAATACAAATAATATAATATAATATAATATAATTTATAATATAATTTACAAAAAAAGAAACACTGACAGGGTGGCTAAGAGCTTGGGCTTTAGAGGCAGACAGACCAGGATTTTAAGTCTGCTTTAGTCTTTACTAGGCACATGACCTTGAACACATTATTTAGCCTCCCTGCAAGTCATTACATCATCTCTAAAAGGGTGGTAATACTCTTTGCCTCCCAGGATCACTGTCAGGATTGAATAAGACAATGCCTGTTACACCACTGCTTGTAGTAAGGGATTCGGAAAAGTAGCTCCTGGCACGTAGCGGACATTCAGCCCACATTTGTTTACTTGTTTGTACTTTTAAACTCCCTTCTATAGGCCACAGGGATTTTATATCAGCATTGCATTTGGGGGAGTCAGGCTGTGTAAGCCTGTGGAATGGATAAATCAGCAAAGAGAAATAACAGAGTACCTTAAAATCCATGAGCAAATGGTTGTGCTTTAGTTTTCAGATCCCAGGGCTGTTTTTAAACTTACCTTCCAATGGCCAAATCCTTTCTTAGAATGTGGGCTTAAACGTCCTTTGTTTATGGGGGATCTGCCTTTCAGAAAATCAATTCCTCACATCTGTGGCTTCAGGCTTTTTACTCAATCAGCCTCCTAACAAAGTAATTTTTCTGATTTTCAAGGGTGACCTAGTTGTACTGGTTTCAGTGAGCATTACATGGCCTTACCTGATTGTGTATAGTAAAAAGGAGCTGTTTCTTCCAGATTTGGAGCCTCAGAGAAACTCTCCTGATCTTCAGGCCTATTTCCTGTTCACTCATGTGCCAATATACCCTCTAGGTACCTGGATACAATTTGACATCCCACTGAAATGTGGGTGTTCTAAGCATCCATTCATCATAAAGTTTAGGGGCTTCAGATACCAGGATGGGTACTTGCTCTACTAAAATGGGATCCTTAGGAAATCCCGTTCAAGGATACCACTTCACTATGGGGTACTGATTTAGGGTCTCTCTCTGAATAAAATATCTTGTCAAAATCTGGTAGAATCACAAATTCTGATAAATGGCTGCCCAGTGGAGAAGTTTAGGGAAAATTATCTTACATTTTTCATCGAAGAACTGGTATTGTTGATTTAACCGTCTTTTCCCATCACCATTGTTCCTATAGCAATTTTTAGACTGGGTGGAGGAATCTACTTCTCATTTCAATTCGATTTGAGTGGCCCTGCCCTGCCCCAAGTTTATTATCCCCACTTCTGACCCTGTGTATAACTAGAATGAAAAGACTGGGCAGGAAACAAGACTAAAGGGACACAAAGTCCTGCTGATATCAAAAGTAATCTTCTAAAGTCCCAAAGAATTTATAGCTTGCCATTCCATATGCTTTTTGGAAGTTTTGCTTTAAATCCTTGTTACCCAATTTTGACCATACTGAATCATGTTATAGCATCAGATATAGACATAGCATCTCAGATATAGCCTAAACCTCACCACCTCTCTCCATTTCTACTGCTGAGCCCAGAGCCCAGGCCATCTTCCACACACCACACAGTAGCCTCCTTACCAGTCACGAGTCCTGCTATGTTCTTGCCCCTCTACAAGGCTACTTTTCCACCACAAGACGAGGACAATAATTTTCAAATATATATCAGGTTATATGGCTCCTTTCCTTAAAACTTTTACCACTTTCCTGTTGCCAGTAAATATACAACATGGCCCTCAGAGCCCTCAATGCTGCTTCCCTGTGGCATCAGCTCTCACTCCTCTTTCTCTAGCTCATTTCTCTGCAGTTACACTGGCATCTTTGCATTCCTTGAGCACAGCCTCGCACTTTCCTCAAGTCACTTGCATATGCTATTCCTTTACCTGGCATTTTCTATCACTAGAGTTTCATGTGCTGTGTGCCTCCTTGTCATTCAGGTCTCAGTCCAAGTGAAGCCACCTTGGAAACGACATCCTTGACCAAGCACTTTTAAAGTCACTCCCACTCACCCAGCTCACAGTCACAATTTCCTTTTTATTTGTACTTTTCATGGTGCTTATTCCTTCTGATATATTTTTATTGGTTGATTGATCTAGATTGAGGTTGGCAAACTTCTGCCTACTGGCCAAATTCATCCCACCACCTATTTTTGTACAGCCCATGAGCTAATGGTTACATGTACATTTTTAAATGGTTGTAATAAATCAAAAGAAGACCATTTTGTGACATGTGAAAATTATGAGAGATTAAAATTTCAGTGCCCATAAAGTTTTTCTGGAACATAGCTATGCTCATTTGTTTATATATTATCTATATCTGCCTCTGCATGACAACAACAGAGATAAGTAGTGGCAACACAGACTATATGATCCACAAAGCCAAAGATATCTACCGTCTGGCCCTTTAGGATAAAGCTTGTCAACCCCTGGTCTGGATATGTATTTTCTTCATACTTCTCTACCTCCTAAATGTTCTAAAACGCCAACTCTTTAAAAGCAAGGACCATATTTGTATTTTTATTATATTCACAGTGCCTAGAATATACTGAAACAGAGTAAGCACATACAAATAAAAGGTTGTTTATTACATCACTGGGAAGTTTATCAAATGTTTCTGGGCAATCAGAGAGCACACTATGCTAGCCCATATTTCAAAAGATCTGCCAATAAGTAAGGGAAAAAAATGCCTGCAAATTTAATAAAATAACACCTCAAGCAGAACTCAGATAAAGTTACACATAAACTTATTAACTTCAAATCTTTTAAGTGTGTTAATTTAGATAATCCTAGGTGCTGTAACAGATAAACTCTGAAATCTCAGCTGTTTAATGCAAAAGAAGCTTTTTTTTGTTCACTCAGTGACCACTTTTTTGGCTGAGGGTTCTGGCTAAGACTCAGGCTCATGGACCCTCCACTGTCTACTTGGGTCTTTCTGGATTTCAACATCCAGCTAACAGATAGGAATGAAAGAAAATGGCAACTCTGCTGGAGATTTTTGGGGCATCAGCCTAGAAGAGATGCACATCACTTCTGTTGTATTCCGTTGGCCAGAACCCAGTTACTTGGCTCAATCAGAGGTAAAACAAGCTGGGAAATGTCATTGCTGGCCAGGTAGCCACTCTCCACCAACATCTCTACACCATGGAAGGAAAATAAGAATGCTTGGGAGTCAGCTAATTATCTTGGCCACAATAGACAACTTAGTCTTTAAAAATTGATACTAAAGGATCTTATTTTTTGAGGTAAGGGGCTGTGGTCTCAGAGGCAGCCTGGAGATACCAATTTCTGAATTTGATTTGATGACTGTGCAATATAGATCAATTGAATTTTCAGTTCTATGATCATCTCCTTTTAAGACTTTCTCCACTTAAAAAATCTGATCTGTCATCTAGATTCATTTTCTACATTCAAAGAATCTTTAGAGGTAGATGGAAAACACGGAGATCAAAAATTATAACTGGCCCCAGGAGAAGACCTCTCACTGTCAGAATTGTTTAAATCCTCTCCTGACTGGTAGGCCCCAATCTTTACCAACTACTAACTCTGATTTACTTTTAGAAAGAATCAAAATTCCTGCATATCCTCAGTAGAGAATCAAAGTGCTGTATTATAATCCAACCATTTCCCAAAGAAAGGAAAATTTGCTCTAATCTCCAAAGTGCAATGTCTGTTCAAAAATCTTTGCCAGCTTTCTTTTCATCAAACTGTGGAACCAGATTTCTCAGTCTACTAGTTTACATGAGGCATAGGCATGAGGCTGAGTATCACTCAGCCCACTGACCCTGGCAATATTTTGTTTTATCTCCCTACAAAAGAGTTAGAAATAAAATAGGTTTGTTTACAATTTCTAACTATTCTACTAGCTTTTGATATGAAAGTACCTAGCATATAAGCCAAGCTATACCACATTTTTTTAGAGATCCCAATTTAACAATAGTGCTAAAATTAATAAGTAGTGCTAGCTTTGAAGGACAACTATCCTTAAAAATTAAGGTATCTTTCTAAGCCATATACATCTGGCTTACACAGATTCATCTTGCTTTTTTTTCCTATCTTGTATGAAAACCTTGGGATTTTACGGCAGTTTTATAATTTTTAAACCACATACCCTGAACATTCTATACATAAAGAAGGGTTATATTGTCAAGTGAATTTCAAAATGCTCTATAATGCATGCTTCTTTTGCAGATAATGTTCAACAGCAAATTGAAAACAGAAATGTCTTGTAGTATAGAAACCTGTTAACCTTCAACTAGGCACTACCCTAATGAATATCATTTTTTAGCTTACTGACAATATGAACCATACACTGTGCTAATTGTTTTACATGCATTAACTAATGTAGTTCTCATAGCAGCCCATGAGGCAGGTACCATTGTTACATCCACTCTACAGATCAGGGACTGAGGACCACAGAGGTCAGGTAACTTGCTCAAGCTGATAGTTGGTAATTAGGAAAGCCTAGCTTTTAAACCAGGTCTGGCCTGAGGCCAGAGACCAAGATCTTGACCACTGGGCTCCCTCTTTTTTAAAATAATACATCTTAATACTCAGTGGCTTTTAGAGGAATTGGTTGCATGTCAAAGGAAGCAACTTCCTTTCTACTGATGGTTGTGCAGTTTGAGTAGGAATATTTAAACCTGTGGACTAATTGTGAAGAAGGAAGAAGAAAGACAGGAAGGAAAGGAGGAAGAATAGGAGGAAGGAAGGGAGAAAGGATGGATGACAGGGAAGAAAATGAACAAGAAGGAGGAGAAAGGGAAAAGAAAAAAAAAACCTTAGGACCATCTATGAGGGGATAAATCATATTTGACAGATATTTTCCCAGGTTTGTATTGATTTTATTAAATAATCTTACCTTTGAGGTCCACAAGACCTGGGTTCTATGTTCTGCCACTAATCTACTATATAACCTATTGTTTTGTTAGATCATTTAATCTCCCTAAGCCTAAGTTTTCCTATCTGTAAAGCAGAGAAAATAATCCTAAGCCTGCCTGCACTATCTGCATAGTGTAAAGATGTTATAAAAGTACTGTGGAGATTTAAAAAACAAAACAATACCAAAGGAGAAAACTTTACATCATAATATACTACCAGAGTGCTTTTAAACATCTATTTTTCAGCTAGAAGGCTCCTTGAGAAAGGCAACTCTTGCGGGGAATCCCAATAGGTGAAATAGATAAAAAGCAGAGCTGAGCATTAGAGCAAGGATGAGGAAGCCAGAGCTCTCTCCTCTTCACTGCCCCTCACCACCTTCCATGAGCGGTGAAAGGCCCCACAAGTCTCTTAGGGTTCCCTAGAACACAGTCCTTGCAAAAGCAAGGGAACTGAGACCACACTGTCTTGAGCAAATTCTGTGGTCTCTGCGCCTCTGCTTCTCCCTGTGAAAAAGGAAAAAGTTGGACAAAATGATTCTTCAGTCCCCTTCCAGTTCTGACATTCTAGAAACGTGAGTTTCTGGTTCTTCTGTCATTAGAAAGCAATGTCTCCTTCCACCTTGACTAACAGCATCCCTCACAGGGAACATGGTACACATGCCTGCACTGAGGGTAAGCCTCCATGCAGTATCCTGAGAGACATGCTCCCCGTCAGACCTCCGAGCTGTCTCAGCATCGATAGGGTGCACCATGTCCATGCTGGGTCACTGCTGCCTGGATGCATTCATTCTGTCCACAAACATTTCCTGAGCTGCTTCTCTGGGAAAAGATGTTCTAGACTAAGACAGGAACTCTGGAACAAGTATGTTTATTTCAGTCTTGTCCATGAGAAACTCATAGCACCATGGAGAGATGGGGACAGACACACAAACAGCTAGACCCAGTGTTCTAATGGGAACGTACACAAGGTACTCAGGGTTGTGTCTGGCATGCAGGGGGCACGTCCCTGGAGTTGGTCTCCCTGGCTCATATCCTGGCTCCACGGCTACCCTGTGGCCTTGGGAAAGTTACTTCACTTTCCACGTCTCGCTTTCTGCATACTTAAAATTGAAAGGATAATTAACTACCCACTTCGCAGGTTTTGTGAGGATGAAAGGAGTTAAAACATAAAAAGCACTTTAAAAAGTCCCTGAAATGCAAGCATTCAGTAAATGATAACTAATATGATTTCAAGTCCAGAGCCCAATCCCTTCTTAGGAAGAACAGCATAGTGGCTAAATGCAGCCTCTGGAGAGAGATTGTCAGGGTTCCAGGACAAGCTCAACCACTTTGCAGCTACTTCACCTCGGGCAAGTTAACACACTCCCACAGGCCAGACGAAATGGCATGAAAACTGTTGAACACTTAGCCTCTGACATAGCAAGAGCATCATTAGTGCTGGCAATTATTGTTGTTAATGGCTGCGAGATTACAGGAAAAACTATTTCCAACTGAAGGAACTGGGAAAGACATGAAGGTGAAGGTGACATTTCAGCTGACCATTTGGCAAATGCCTCAGTTTTTGTGAGCCTATGCTGAGTTCTGGCTGTTGATAGACCTGTTCATCCCAATGCATATGCACTTCTAGTTCTCTTTCCTTTTTCCTTTGTATCTAGAGCCAGCAGAATGATCACAAAACAAAACACAATTGTCTAAAGCAAATAGAGATTAGAGACAGAGATAAAGAGAGATAAGTATAGGAGGTATAGCTTTAGGGTGTGTATGTGTGTGTGTGTGTGTGTGTATTAGTCAAGTCATTCTACTGTTTCCAAACTTTCAATGATCCCCTGTTGCCTTGAGGTGTAGTCTACACTGCTTAGCCTGGCCTTCAAAGCCATCTGCTACCTATACCCAGATACCTACTGCCCTTTTGGGCTAACTCTATCTTCCACCCAGGACCCACAGAACTTAAACATCTGGGCAGATTCCTGTCTTCATATCTTGGCTCATATTCTCCCTAACCTGAAAGGTTTTGGTCCAGACCATTCATCTCTCATGATCATAAGCCCTGATTCCTCCTGTTGCATTTTTCCCTGTGTAAGATCCCACACTTGGCTTTTGCTTCTCTGAACTCCTTAGGCCCACTCACTTGTCACTTCTGCGGCCATGTCATGTCTTCCCATGGTAGACCAGAGGCGTTCTCAGAGCAAGCCCTATCTCTCAGACTTCTTTGCATCTCGTCAACCCTGCCTGACAACAAGCAACACTAATGTTTTAGCTCAGAGCCTTGTGCACAATAGCAGTTCAATTAATATTTCTTGAAAGACCTTGGAAAATGAATTAGTATAAATAACCTACTCAAATTTGAAAAATTAATATTGTCAACCATAATTTTTAGACACTCCTATATATTCAATATTGTAATAGTTTATACTTGGAGACAGAAGAAATTTTTAAAAATAAAGGATAAACAACCATCATAGGAAGTTAAATCTAGATGGAAAAATACAGTTAACCTAAAAATAAAGTAAAAGAATGTAATGTTTAAATCATATGATTCCAACTATAGTTCAGAATGAGTTCACTGAAGTGCAGGGTTAGTAGACATGGGGGAAAGAGGGGTTTGACCCTGTGAACAACTGCAGGGAATTAAATCCCATGGTCCTGGCTTGCATTGTACAAAACAGACTGGCTGTGTAAACAGTTAAGCCCTTATCCCTCAGAGGTGGCAATTTCCAAACTGAACCAATTATTGTGGGGATTTTCCCTGGGAGCAAAATTGGGGGCACCTGAAAAGCACTGTGCTTCTTATTATTTCTGTTTACCAATATTTTAGAGCTCGGTGTGTCCAATTCTTCATGAGCTCCTTACTTGCCTGTCTCTGGTATTGACTGGGTGACCCAGAGCAGGCCAGTTCAGAGGAGGCTGGCCCACCTGACACCTCCACTCTCTTCTCATTAACAGATTGGTTACTGGAATGAAGATGATAAGTTTGTCCCTGCAGCCACCGATGCCCAAGCTGGGGGCGATAATTCAAGTGTTCAGAACAGAACATACATCGTCACAACAATCCTAGTGAGTACTCAGTCCTTCATCAAGGTTACTTGGGATTCAAGCTAGGCCAGCACAAGGGTTTTCCACCAGGACTGAAAGCTGGCCTTTCTTCTTGCCAAAACTGTGTAATAGATAAAAGCAGCAAGTCGAAAAGGGAATGCCCTGAAAATGAGAGGCTCTGAGTTTTCACTCTGTATCTCTTAGTTTCACTGTCTCATCCTTTGTACCCTTGGGTAACTTACTTACTTTCTCTTGAGCCAGCTTTCCCATATTTAAAACATAAGAATGACACTAAATTGTGCTGGTTTTCATCTGTCCTCCCTCAGTAGAAGCTATTTTCAAAGAAAGTCCAATACATAAAGTAGCTGTAAGTGAAGATGCTGTAATTTTCAGTGACTGATCATGAGAAACCTGGAGCCTGTTTAGGGTCTATTTCTCCTTCAAGATGACCCCAGAGGTATTTCCAAAAAAAATACAAAATATCCTGGAACATAATTTGAAAAGCTGTATGCCATATCTCAGTGATAAAACATTCTTATTTTAACAAAGTTTGCTTCCTTAACACAAGAAGCTTGTAATGGGGTAGGGAGTGAAGACATTTAGGAAGTGAATTGAGGGGCTAGAGAGCCTTCCCCAGTGTTAACCAAACATGATATTATGCTATGCCAAAGTCCTCCCTACCCATGGGTGAACCCATAACCCACATTCTGCTATCTCCCCATTTCTCTTCCAGGAAGATCCTTATGTGATGCTCAAGAAGAACGCCAATCAGTTTGAGGGCAATGACCGTTACGAGGGCTACTGTGTAGAGCTGGCGGCAGAGATTGCCAAGCACGTGGGCTACTCCTACCGTCTGGAGATTGTCAGTGATGGAAAATACGGAGCCCGAGACCCTGACACGAAGGCCTGGAATGGCATGGTGGGAGAGCTGGTCTATGGAGTAAGTTCACTGCAGGGTGGGAAATTAGAGGGCGGAGGCAGAGGGTTTGACAGGAAATCATTTGGTGGTTGGGTGGCCCTGCCCACAGATGTCTATGAAACCCTGTAATTGAGTGTTGTTGCTGCTGAACAGATGAGTCATCCAAAATCCAATTTCTTCAGACACTCTTTGTTCAGGTTACTGGTCCCAGGTCCCTCAATCCCACTCAGAGTCTTGTGACGTCAGTTGATTGTCGTCCAACACAGGTGACAGCATAGCTCCAAGATCAATTTTCTTGAGGCAGACTGCTGAGTTGTCTATACAAAGTCACTTGTGGCTCTCTCAGTATCAGTTTCTTCTCTGATATTAAATGCATCTGGAGCCAACCTAACTTTCTAGTTACTTGCCTCTCTAGTTTCATGCTCTCTCATGAAATTTCCAATTCAGTCAAATGCCCCTTAATTACTCTGTTCCCTAGAGTGCTCCCTTCCACTCTCCACCCCTAAGATACTACTCCTTCAAAACCTATATCAAATAATACTTTTTTCAGGGTGTGTTTCTTTCTTTCTTCTCATAATAGGTATGAATGTGCCTTTTAATTGTTCTCGCCTTCCCCTATAGAATTTAGTTGCTGGTTTTTTTTAATGGTTTACCCTGCCTTATATAACGGTTACCTGTGTAACAGGGGTAGGACTATTCTATCTTTATAGTGCTCACCACACTTGAAATAACTCCATGCACAATTGCTATAAAATCTTCAATAAATTACAGCAGTTTTGAAAAGCTGCTGAATGTCCCACATTGTTTTAAGCATTTGGGGAATTATTGAGAAGCAAAAGATTTGATCTTTTGCTTAATACTTTATGAGGTAGAAAAGACCCCATCTTTTAACATTTTATGGGGTAGAAAAGACAATGTGAGAAAATAGTAAAAGGTAGTATAGAATAAGGAGTCTATATTGTATGGCTCAGCTAAGGGCTAACTAGAGTTTGTCTAGCCCTCAGTGGGGATGTGAAACTTGAAAAATGACCATATTTAAACAGACCGAGAGGCCGGGCACAGTGGCTCACGCCTATAATCCCAGCACCTTGGGAGGCCGAGGCAGGTGGATCACCTGAGGTCAGGAATTTGAGACTAGCCTGGCCAACATGGTGAAACCCCATCTCTACCAAAAATACAAAAATTAGCTGCACATGGTGGCGGGCACCTGTAATCCCAGCTCCTTGGGAGGCTGAGGCAGGAGAATCACTTGAACCAAGGAGATAGAGGTTGCAGTGAGCCAAGACCATGCCATCGCACTCCAGCCTGGGAGACAAGAGCGAAACTCTGTCTCAAAAATGATAATAAAAAACATATGAGAGAAAAGCAGCCCAGGAATTTTTAAAGTATAAACAATAGGATGGTGGTGGAAATAAGTAAGGTGTGAGAGGAGAATGAGAAAACGCATGGTTTTTGTTGAGGACTTGGGTTGAAGAGTAGTCAGGGATACATATGAGTAAAAAATAGCAAGAGGAAGAGTGTGGATGATTCAGTGGGCATTGGGAGATCACGAAGGTATTTGAGTAGAAAGACAACAAAAGGCAATGGAAGAAGCCTCCAGCTGCCTTGTGCAGGGAAGGGACCACCACGGCTTCACTCATAGAAACTAAAACACATGCCAAGCCCCAGGTCAATGTTAAGTGCTCATAAGGACAAGCAGCCACTGAGGAAGATGATAAATCTTGTTTCATATCAGGGCAAGAGGAGCCATGATGGCCCTGAGAGACATACAAAGGGAATTCAAAGAAGAAAAAGATGGAATAAAGGAAATCTTCCTCAGGGAGGTAGCTTTTGAGATGACATGTGAAGGTGGTTATTGAGTTGGGGAATGGGATGTGCTTCTCTCCTTTCTTATTCCCTTTACCACCTCTCACTTTGGGAAGCTCCATGGACAAAAGGTAGAGACCTGGATAGTACATGCTGCAGCTGGAGGCTGGTTTCCATGGGAACTCCCATCAAGCTCTTAAGGTCATCCCCATGGCAACTGCTGTGCACTTTTCACCTTCTCTAGCATTTATCTTCACCTTCACCTCATGTAATGTGGTTTGCTTGGTTAAAAGTCTGCAGTGTGGGCAGAACAATGCCAGGATCATCCCCAGTAGCCAACACAGCTGGTGGTGAGTCACTGGCACAGCAGGGCTCAGGCCAGCTGGAGTTACCTATGGGTGCCTCAGCAGCCAGGCCTGCCTCAGTAGCCTCCTCCTTATCAGGCCTGTTCCTCTGCCCAGTAAAAACTGTTCTGACCAGGTGCGGTGGCTCATGCCTGTAATCCCAGCACTTTGGGAGGCTGAGGCGGGTGGATCACGAGGTCAGGAGATCTAGACCATCCTGGCTAACACAGTGAAACCCCATCTCTACTAAGAATACAAAAAATTAGCCGGGCATGGTAGTGGGCGCCTGTAGTCCTAGGAATTCGGGAGCTGAGTAGTTAAGGCAGGAGAATGGCGTGAACCTGGGAGGCGGAGCTTGCAATGAGCCAAGATGGTGCCGCTGTACTCCAGCCTGGGCGACAAAGCGAGACCCGTCTCAAAAAAAAAAAAAAAAAAAAAAATACTATGTTCTGAAGACTCTGTGATGGCCCCAGTCGGATGCTCAGCCTTTCTTTTTAGTTTGGCTTTCCTTTTCTGTTCCCTTGGGGAAGAACCAAGTGATTTGGAGAAGCATCTCTCAACCACCAACCACCAGAGATCAAGAAAAATTCATTTGGAGGCTTCCAAATTTATTCTTTCTGTGGCTTTCTAAATAACTAAGTCGATCAGGCTCTCTCTTATCTTCCTTTTGCTCCCTCTTTTTCCGTCAATAATGATAGTAGTCACATTTCATCGTGTAGCGTGTGCCAGGTGCTATGTTGAATACTTTACTCACATTCTTTCATTTACTCTGCATATCGACTTCATGAGGTGGGTAAGATTACTGTTTACATTTTATAGATGAGGACACTGAGGCCCTCTAGGTTAGATAATTTGGCAAAGGAAACACAGCTAGTGAAAGCAGAGTCAGAACATGCAGCTCTGGCTTTTGTACTCCACACTGGGACATACTGCCTCTGTAGAAATCCCACCATCCAAATGCTAGGCGGTAAAACCAATATTAACTGAGAGAACAGCAAATGTCTGCATTTGCAGATGCCATATGCTGCAAATGAAGTTTCTGCTCCTCACATGGTATATCTTGGTGCCTCCTTCACAGCTGTCTTTACTGTCTGTCCTTTGTCTTGGTAAAGCAGAAAGAGAGTGAGCTTTGCAGACAGACACCTGGATTTGAGTTCCAACTCTGCCAACTTGCTGGCCCCGACTTTTCCGGGGCCACCCCTGTGAAACAAGGAACGTGAATTCTTTACCACAGGCTGTGATGGGGAATATTCATTTATGCAGGGCCTGGCTCAGAGCAGATCTCCATTTCTGATAGTTTTATTCACTTTATGCTTTTTTCTACCACATGAAAACTATATGCTGTTTTCCCAGGATAGTTTCTAGACATCACGTATTTTGTTTTGGGATCTGCTAGGTCAGTGATTCTAGAGGTGTGGTCTTTGGACCAATAGCATTAGCACCACCTGGGAACCTATTAGAAATGCAGATGTTCACATCTCACCCCAGGCCCACTGAATCTAGAAACTCTGGCGTGTGTGTCTTTAAAAGCCCTCCTGGTGATTCTGCTGCACACTCAAGTTTGAGAGCCATTGTCCTAAGATGTCAGTTTAAGAAAATAATTTTGACTGCTCACATTTCACAGTACTCTCATGTATTTTGAATTATCTTGACCCTCACAAAACAAGCCTGTGAAATTGGTGAAACAAGAATTATTATGCCTGCTTTTAAAATGAGGAAATTGACATCCAAAAAGACAACTGTTTCTTTTGAGGCTACACAATCAGCCAGTTGCAGAGAAGAGCAGCCCGGTCTGAGATCCGCTGTGCCCTCCACTACCCAGTGAAGCTCCAGTGAGAACCTCAGTTATTGGTGGTGGAAATCAACTTCTGAGGCCTCTCAGTCAATATTAACCAAGCTAAAATACTACTGCTTTTCACAAACCACCTTCCCTCTCTAGATATGAGTTTCTTATCTGTAAAATGAAGTAGTTGAACTTAGCATCTCCCAGTATGTGTGTATCTTACATACATGGGTACCTCTTGATGCTTAGGAAGATGAATGACCCATGGCCAAATAGTTTTGGAAATGCCACATTCTACTTACTCCTCTTGGAAATTCTCAGTGCATTGTGGTCATCTAAAGGTTCTGGGAAGTTCTGCCCCAAGCATGTTTATTTTTATGTTATTTTCATGTTATTAACCATCCTTCCAGAAATAATGTTCTATTGAACAAATTTTTGAACTACAAAATGAACTAAGCTTTAGGACAATACGGAACAGGCTGGGTATGGTGGCTCACACCTGTAATCCCAGCACTTTGGGAGGCTAAGGCAGGCAGATCACTTGAGGCCAGGAGTTTGAGACCAGCTTGGCCAACATGGCGAAACCTCTACTAAAAATACAAAAATTAGCTGGGCATTGTGGCACATCCCTGTAATCCCAGCTACTTAGGAGGCTGAGGCATGAGCATTGCTTGAACCCAGGAGACAGAGGTTGCAGAGCCAAGATCACACCACTGCACTCCAACCTGGGGAACAGGGCAAGACCCTGTCTCAAAAAAAGAAAAGGCAATATGGATCAATGATTTCCAGTCTATGATCTCTTATTAAATCACATTAGGAAGCATCCAACAAATCCATGCAATATCATTTACCCCTTTCAGAGCTGGTCTTCATCCACCTCCCTTCCGGATAACTTGTGGTCAATCCCTCCAAGTCATTTCCATTACTTGTCTCCCCCATTCTTTTTCTGTTGGTTTACAAACAAAAAAGTAAATACCTTCTCCCCTGTACTGTCTTGTATTTGTAAAAATTACCAAGATTTATGCAGTGGGTATTAGGGGAAAAAACAGAATTGCTATGAAATTTACACCTGACTTCACATTAATTAATGGAAAGTTTCTTTCTACAAGTGAAAACTTAATTCATCCTGAAGCCAGGCTTTCTATTCCACTTAAAGCACCTTCTCAATAATCCCAGACAATGAAAGTAACCAGAGGAAATCTCTAAGCAACAGCCAACTGGTGGGTGGTCAGCACCCTGACCTGCATAGCATCTGTCACCAGCTTCACTTCTGGGCTGTTGTACAGCATAAGAGAAAGCCATTTGCCTTGAACAGACCTGCATAGGCATGTCTCTCATCTCAGAAATGAATGCTATGGCATCTCTCCATGGAAATCCTCTTAGGTTTCCAGGATCTCTTGATCTCAGGCCAACAGGAGCAGTGGATTTCTGTTGAGTAGATGCCAGTGCTTCTGCCATTGGAGAGAGGTAGGAAAGACAGGAGAACAAGGCATGGTTGGTGATTCCATGTGCTGGGTGCCTAAGGATGAATATTTCTTGCAACCTTTTTATGTTTATCTGCATGCTGGATTTGAAATTTAAAAACTGTATTATATATGTATTTCTTAGACTTCTTCCTGAAGAAGAAAATGACTGCAATACTACTTTACCTTTTCATCACAGGCTATTATTCCCATGGTTCCCTCCTCCTGGAATGCTGTTCCATGCCAGAGCAACCTGTCAAAGTCCTACCCCTCTTTCAATGCCAACTTTATATGCCACCTCTTCCAAGATGCAGTCCCCTATCTCCGCAGCCAGAATGAATCCCTCCCTGGTCTCTGGCAGAACTCTGTATATCTTGGATAACACATACCCCTTCCACCTTGTAGATTGGAAAATTGTTTGTGTGTTTCAATGTCTCCTAATTTGTAATTTCCTGAGGGTGGGGACCATAGTCTACCTACAACTTTCAGCCTGCAGATTGCACATAGTAAGTGTTCAATAAATATCTATTGAGTTAAATTGACCTTTACTCAGGACTATCTTGGTTGCAGGAAAAAGAAACCCAATTCAAACTGACTTAGGCAAACTGACACATTGTCTCATGTTCTTGGATTCCTCTGTGTCAATACAGAGGGATGTATTGACACAGATTCTGAGGGAATCCAGGGTAAGCCCTGAATTTACAGTTGCCTGAATTATGACATAAGGGGTCATCCTCTGCATCTCTCAGGACTAATTCTCACTAAACCCATTTGAGTCCTATGTCATCCCTGAATGGATGATTCTGGCCAGGGTAGTGGGGTACATGGATTGACCGGGACCTGGGTCACCTGCTTCCCCATGTAGCCAGAGTGATCAGACCCATTCCAACCTGCAGGATTGAGAGTGGGGCAAGAATGGTTCTCCTGCCAGAGGAAGGGAGTGGGGCTGCTGAGCAGGCAAAAACAACAGATACCACAACAGCTTCCTTCTTGTAGTATGAGGAAGATGCCTCTAACATTTAGAACAGTCAAATAACTAGAAAATCTCTTGTAAGATATTGAGCTGACCATCCATTCATCAAAAATATTTTATAGAGTAGGAGGGGTTGGACTTCAAAGGTTCTTTCCCACTCTCATATCCTTTAAGACACAAAAGAATAGTCACAATGAGAAGAAAAACAAGAGAATGAAAAGGGCTGCTGAGCTCACCTGCATTTTTTTTTTTTTTTTTTTTTTTTTTTTTTTCAGAGAGCAGATGTGGCTGTGGCTCCCTTAACTATCACTTTGGTCCGGGAAGAAGTTATAGATTTCTCCAAACCATTTATGAGTTTGGGGATCTCCATCATGATTAAAAAACCACAGAAATCCAAGCCGGGTGTCTTCTCCTTCCTTGATCCTTTGGCTTATGAGATTTGGATGTGCATTGTTTTTGCCTACATTGGAGTGAGTGTTGTCCTCTTCCTGGTCAGCCGCTTCAGTCCCTATGAATGGCACAGTGAAGAGTTTGAGGAAGGACGGGACCAGACAACCAGTGACCAGTCCAATGAGTTTGGGATATTCAACAGTTTGTGGTTCTCCCTGGGAGCCTTCATGCAGCAAGGATGTGACATTTCTCCCAGGTCAGTCAGCTCTTCTCAATCCCTTTGCCTAATGCTATGGTTTTGTTTGTTTGTTTGTTTGTTTGTTTTTTAAATACTGAAAAGTAAAGAGATGAATTATTTCAGACCACTGTATTCAGTTTTTCAACTATTCTTTACAATCAACTGTCCATTGCACGCTGTGGATTATCTGGATCATCCTGTAGCTGGGCCATCTCTGTCTGCTCTCTGGGTTGATGTGCTCTGTCAAGGTTAATAGGCATAATTATGACTGATGCGTTGTAGCTGAAAGGTACAGAGGAAAGAAGGGAGCATTGTGTGGTACAACTAACACTTATGGAGCACCTACCAAATGCCAAGCAAGGTTCTGAGTCCTGTACATGCCTTATCTCATTGAGTCCTTACAGGAACATAAGGTGGTACTCCCATCATGTCTCTTTTTACAAATGAGGAACCACAGAAATGTTGAATATCTTGCCAATGTTACACAGCTAGTAGGCAAGTGAGTTGAGATTCAGAATGCTGTCCTTTCCTATTTCTGCATGGTGGGAAGAGCACTGGATTATGAGTAAGTTCTAGCACTGGTTCTAGCACATGGGCCCTTTATGCGGCTCTCAGAAAGTCACCTCACCCTAGTAGATGTTGGCGTCTTCATCTTAAAGAGAAAAAACTTCTCCTTTTCTTTGGTTCTGAGAAAGACTCTGGAAATAATCTAGTTCCAGTGATGATGGAAATTTGTTTCTTGTAATTAAAAAGTGGAATTTCAGGCCAGGCGTGGTGGCTCACGCCTGTAATCCTAGCACTTTGGGAGGCCAAGGCAGGTGGATTACTTGAGATCAGGAGTTCGAGACCAGCCTGGCCAACATGGTGAAACCCTGTCTCTACTAAAAATAAAAAATAATAAAACAATAATAATAATAAATTAGCTGGATGTGGTGGCAGGTGCCCGTAATTCCAGCTATTTCAGGAGGTTGAGGTAGGAGGGTCACTTGAACCCGGGAGGCAGAGGTTGCAGTGAGGCAAGATCATGCCACTGCACTCCAGCCTGGGTGACAGAGTGAGACTCTGTCTTTAAAAAAAAAGAAGAAAAAAATGGAATTTCTCAGAGGTGCCTCAGATATCACATTGAAAGCACACTCGGGTAACCAAATCAGTGGGATTTTAGCCCCCCACATGGAATCAGAATGGCTCCATTTTTGTCTGTTTTATATATTGGACTTGTGAACACAATTTATTTTGGGAAAAAAAAGTGACTGAAGCTAAGAAAAGAGAAAGGGTGGACAGGAGATGGGGGTGAGGAAGGTAGGAAACCTGCCAATCTAGACCAAGTCCACATTTACTGACCTCCTGTTCTTCTGACTACATTCTGGATGTGCATGCCACAATTCCCCACCAATTTGCCTGATAAATAAGCACTGACTCTATTTCCTTTTACAGTTGCTTAATGTCTATGAACTCTTTTTCCAGTAGGCACTCTCTTAGATTACCAAATTTCAAAAGCCTACAGGGAGTCATGGCTCAGAATTTGGCCTCCATGGACAGATCTGGAGGCATAAGTGCATAATATCAAGGTCTCATAGACATGTGCTGGAGGCATCTTTACCACCTATCTACGTTTTGCATTTCATTGTCAAGGAGGACCAATATTCCTAAGCGGCAATGGAGTAAATTCTTTCTAACAAGCTTCCCTCAGGACTTATTTGGCCTGCTGTATAACTTAGAAAGTCTCATCGTTCATTATAATCTTGTTTTTCTTTAAATAAGAAGACAGTGGGGGGTGGGGGGCGCGTGGGAGAGGAGGTGTGAGACTGGCTGCTTGGCCAATACTGGCAAACACATGGTGAAGAGTAGAGAGAACCAAGCAGGGGAAGGGCTTGCTTAAAAATAAATCAGGCCCGTGGATAAACAGTGGGAAGAAACAATTCCTAACTAGTCAGCATAATGTAGGGCCATCACAACATGCAGGTGTCAGAGAAGACCCATGAACTTGTTTTTTCTCCTTTATTTCCTTCATCAGTGAGCATCTCATCTTTTCACAGAACCTTTATGCTGTGATCTCAGGGTGTGTTTTCTTTCTCCCCACTATTCCTCCAGGGGTTTCAATCTTGTGGTCCATAAACTGAATCTTCTGTCAGACAGGTTTTTGTTTAATCTGTACAGAATTTGGCAATGGTTACCCAAAACTGAGTGGTAGCTTCCCTCTTGAACAGGTCCGCGCATTCACGGTTCACCCCAGCCCCAACCTGACCTTCTTTGTTCCTGTGTTACTCAGCTGGCCCCAGAGGGTGTTTGAGTTTGTGACCTCTGGCTGCAAGAGGATTTTCAAACTATGCTTTCCGGACTTCTGAGGGTTCCACTAGGGTATCATAGGAGTTGACATTGAGGTGAAGAGGAGACTGAACAACATATCCAGCCTCCCTCCTCCCTGATTTTCATAAAACAACTCTACTCTATGCCTCTTTTTCATTAATAAAATGGAAATAATAGTTTCTACCTCAAATCTTGTTGGAAAGTTTAGAAGTATGTATAGATCCTATAACACAGTACCCAGCCTTCACACAGGAAGCGCTATAACTGGATGCTTTTTTTATTATGTTAATTGATTTTTTTTAACTTGGATTTTGTCTAAACTTCACTGGAAGAAACGATGCCACTGTTCACACTGATTTGAAAGCCTAATACCTTCTTCTAGAGAAGTCCATTAACAAAGCAGAAATAGCCAGTGGTTTATGCCAGAGACCAGCCACATCTGGATTCCTAAGACTCCTCCTCATAGGAACTGGGAGGAAGGGTTGGTGACTTTGGCTGAAAGGTCTGACAGACACAAGAGTGAACTGCCAAAGGAAGTTAGAACTTTGATCCACTTGAGATGGACTTTTTTTAATCAAGCCAACCTTGGTTAACCCCAGAGTTTAGGAGCCTGTAAAATCTCCCTTGAGAGAGTGAGAATGTATTAAAATGTTTCTTGGAAATATATGTAGAAGAGAAGAGACATATACTTCATCTTACCTTGAACCAGACAAAAACACAAGGATGCTAAGACAATGATCAAAGTTAGAGACTAAGAAGACAATGAAAAACATCAGTAGAAACTTTTGTTGTCATTGTTGTTTATATATTTCCTGATGAAGTCAGTAAGTTTCATGACCTTCTGATATGCACAGCACTATGTTAGACACTCTGGGTGCTGCAGTAGAAGGGGCTTTTAAAGCTGACATTCATCAAACATCCTTCCAAATGAGCTTCAATTAACTGATCTTGCTGCTTATTTAAAGAAAATGTCATAAACCCTTCCTAATTTAGTATTTGGGGAAATCAATTTCATCTGAATTGCATATATCTGCACTTATCCACAAGTAGCTTTAACTCTTTCTAATCTCTTCAAAGTTGATGTTAATGTCTAGTAACCAAAACCAACAAAATGTGGCTAAGTGTAATTGTCTGCAAATAACATCAAAACCTGACCATAGTAATATGGTAAAGACAAAGATAACCCAGTAAAGAGGGTTATCTTTCTCACATATAAGAAAAGTGGTAGCAGGTAGTGGCTTGTGGTGAAATCCAGATTGGCCATTCTGTAAATTATCTTGGCCTTTTCTTCTTGTTCATAAGATGGCGGTTCCCAAATATTGTGTCCATGTTCAAACAGCATGAAGGAAAAAAAGTGTTGCCTTCTATTTCTGTCTTTTTGGATCAGAAGAACAAAAGCTTAACAAAATACTCTCCACCCCACACAGATGTCTGCTTCTTTCTCATTGGTCAGGACAGTGGCCATGATTATTTCTAGTGGCAAGAGAGGCTGAGAAGGCAAGAATTTAGGTTTTCCAACCTCTAGAGTAGGCAGGGTAGGAATCGATATTGGGGGAATCAACTGGCAGTATTGGCCACTGTGCCTAAAATCAATGTTTTCTGCACTGGCACCAGGAATAGATAGAAATAATCCAGAATTAGCACAGTCAATGGTGTATGCCAGCGAATGCTACTGAAATGCTTTAAAGACTCCTCCACCCACCCTTTGAAATGTATATTCAATAAATTGGTTTTGTATAACCCATTTTAACAGTGAAAGTTAAAAATCACTTCAGCTATGATCACAGATTACAATTTATTTTTTTAATTAGGTTGATGGTGAGATTAAAAAGGGACCCATGAATTTACTTTTAAGCCTGCTTCTTGTTCAAAAAAAAAAAAACAACTTTTTTTTTTAACTCAGTCACCCCAGCTGGAGTGTAGTGGTGCAATCTCAGCTCACTGCAGCCTTGACCTTCTGGGCTCAAGCCATCCTCCTACCTCAGCCTCCTGAGTAGCTGGGACTACAGGCACAAGCCTCCACACCCAGCTAATTTTTGTATTTTTTGTATAGTTGAGGTTTCCCTATGCTGCCCAAGCTGGTCTTGAACCCCTGAACCCAAGTGATCTGCCTACCTTGGCCTCCTGAAGTGCTGGGATTGCAGACATGAGCCACTGTGCCCAGCCCAAAGACCTATTTTTAATAGATATTTTAGATTTTGAGGAGTATGTTAAAGAAGGAATAAAAATCATCACAGACAAAACTTATCTTTAGTACCTTCAACTTTCATTTCTGATCCATTTCCCCATGTGTGTGGTCAAGATCATTCATTTATTCAACAGATATTGCTAACTGCCTACGACATGCAGGGTATGGTTCTAAGTGCTGAGGATATGAAGATATATTGGTGATGGAGTGTGGAGGGCAGGAGCCTTTGCTTCAAGGAGCTGGCAGTATAGAGATATGAGAGACATTAAACAAATTATCGTGAATGTGTAAGTTGGGATGTGCTATGAATAAAATGAACCTGCTGTTGCAATAGATAATACAAGAAGTGGAATTAAACAAGCCTTACTTAGAGTGTTCTGAGAAGGTTTCTCTGAGGAGCTGATGGGTAAGAATGAGCTAGACTTGTATAAAGCTAAGAGACATAAATAGCCATATGCAAAGGTTCTCAGGTGAAAAGGAGTTTACTGCTCTCAAGGACTGGAGGAGTGACAAGTATGTCTGGCTTACAGTGAATCAAGAGAACGGAGGTTTGAGATAAGATTGGAGGAAGAAGCAGAGGCCTGCGCAGGGCCCTGTGGTCACATTTTAAATTTGATGTTTTATTTTAAATGCAATGGAAGACCATTGGAGGGTTTTAAGCAAGGGAAGGATTGATTTGCATGCTAAAATACCACTCTGGGGAGCTATGAGGAAAATGAATTGCGGCAGAGAAGAGTCCAGAGTGGAAGCAGAGGGACCAAACAAGAGTCTCTCATAGCCATCCTGAGGAAATTACAGTGATGGAAATTAGAATGATGGTCATCGACATGGATTTATGGTTCACTCTGAGACTAGAATTGACAGGACTTGCTGATGGATTGGATCTATGAGGATGAGGAGGGGGAGGAATCAAGGGTGAGTCCAAGAGGGAGGAAGCATTTGGAAAACAGGGAACCACAGTTCCAGGGACTATTAGCTCTGGGCAGGATCAATAGGATGCTCTAGTCTACCCACCCCATGTTACACATGAGGAAACTGAGGCCAGAGAGGGAGGGAAAGACATTTTATCTAAGATCACCCAGGCGATACCTATGGCTGATTGGTGCCCAGTCCAATGCTACCCTACTGTGTAGTCTCAGCCCAAGGCTCCATTGCCTTCAAATGAACTGAGAGTGAGCTTCTTCAGCTTATTACACCCATGGCCCCACTTTCCCAATGGCTTCTCCATGGCATCAATATTTTCCTGGGTTCAGGTGACCTTAGTAAGAGAATGAGAGGAGGTTAGAGGGTGCTAGGAGAATGGAGGAAAATGGGAAATTATGACTTTAGCTTTCAGAATTCTCTCTTTTATTCTTGATCATAGACTGAATTGGAATGTGTAATAATTGTCTCCACCTAGTGGAGATAATTACTCTCAGGAGAAGAAGTCTAAGGCGGGGGGAGTGATGGTGCTTTGGAGGTCTCCTGGAGCCTGATATCATAACCTCCTCCCTCCACTAATTTATTTATTTATTTATTTTTTCCAAGACCGAGTCTTGCTCTGTTGCCCAGAGCTGGAGTGCAATGGCATGATCTCGGTTCACTGTAACCTCCACCTCCCGGGTTCAAGCAATTCTCATGCCTCAGCCTCCCCAGTAGCTGGCATTACAGGCGTGTGCCACCATGCCCAGCTAATTGTTGTATTTTTAGTAGAGATGGGGTTTCACCATGTTGGCCAGGCTGGTCTTGAACTCCTGACCTTGCGATCTGCCCACCTCAGACTCCCAAAGTGCTGGGATTACAGGCATGAGCCACTGTGCCCAGCCTTGTTGAGGGCCTTTTAACTGACTCACGGTAGGAAGATGGTGGCCAATGAGGACAGCCCAAGCCAATAACCAACGATAGCCTGACCTTTGCATTCACATACAAGTTTCATAGTAACCAGTATGCCTTTGGCACTGAGAGTCTATGAGAAACCTTCCTCTTTCCCCTCTTTCCCCCTCCTGCTCTCTGTCCTCCCATCCCAGCAAGAGCTGTGCAAACCCATTTCTCTTGCTCTTCTTGATGTCACTGTAGTATTGTGGGGAAGAGAAAGAGCCTGAGAGTAAATATTGAGGCAAGTTGATGAAGGCAGCCTGAAATTGTCAAACATTTCTCATTTTGAAAATGCAAACGTCATTTAGGCCACAGGTTCATTTCTACAAGGAACAGTGTCACAAGGATGTGTCAAAAATGATGAGCAGGAAATGTGCGATAGCTAATCTGGGTCTTGGGACTAGGCATGGGGGTTTCTGCTGGGACCCTCTGCGTCAGAATTACCTGGGATGTTTGTCCAAATGCAGGTTCTCAGACTTCATTTCAGCTCTCTAGAATTTGAAACTCTGCAGTTGGAGAGAAAGTTCTACATGTTTCACAAGCCTCCCCACCCACTTCTGCCCCAGGGCTGATGGGATTAAAGTTTGGAAGTCATTGAACTAGGGTGCTGCCCAGAGAAGTCAGCTTAAAAGTACAGAAAGCAAGGCCCATATGGCAGCTAGAAATGATGCTGAGTCAACATTGAGTTTGATATTGAGTCAAAAGCCGTAAACATGGAGCCCAGGGTCCGCCAGCTCACTACCCTATAGTATGTTACATGCTGGGTGAGCGAGGCCCTTGGCACAGGAGTGTTGACTGTGGCCTTCAAAGCAGGGGCCTGGCTGTCCTGATGACCCTGCCTTCTGCAGGCCAAGCCAGCAAGAGGAACTTACCAAGGGTTTCACCAGCATATTTCACCTTGACAGTTTTTTCCTCTCCATTAGCAAGCAACACCAACACAAAGGGACTGGCCCAGGTGAGGTGATTCTGCAGTCATGGCAGGTGTGAAGTGTGCATGGACTGTGTGGGGGTGGCCCCCATCATGGGAGATAGGGTGTGGAACTCCAGATCAGTGGCTCCTACTTTTTCCATTTTAATCTTCTGCTACCTGATGGTGAGACCCAGAACCAGGTTCTGCTACTGAGCAGTTTTACAGACCTTTGAGAAGAAGAGTAGAAGTTTCACAAGCTCCAAAGGCAGCATGGAAATGTTAAAATGAGTGCAGTGACAGGAGAATAAAAGCCTTCACTGGATATGCAAATGAAACCATCATTTTCTGTGTCTCAGCCTGCAGTTCTGGCCATCAGCAAGGGGGAAGCATAATTGCTGTCTCTAGATTGTTCTGGAAGTTTATACTTTGAACATTTTAATTGACGGAGAGATTTGTTTTCTCCAAAATTACAATAGGAAAATTTTCAGAAAGTTTTTCACAGAGCTGAAAGGGATATTGAGGACCAATTATTCATTTATTTATTCATTAAGTGTTTCTTTAGCAACTGTTATTTAACAAACATTGTTCAAGGTACTGTGAGAGACATCACAGAACATAGCAGACAAAAGCTCCTACTCTCCTGGAGCTTGCATTCCAGAGAGAAGAGGCAGGCAATAAATAAAATAAAAATGTGATTAACATGGCCATCCCAATTCGATAGGCGAGGATTCTGGGTGACAGGGAGAGGAAGGGACATAGCCAAAATCACACAGATAATTAGTGTAGGTTCAATAGCATAGGAGTGGAAGTCAGCCGGGGGCTGTGGTGAACGGCACATGCATGTGTCAGCTAGAGAGGATAGCTCCCCCTCGGCTCTGGATAGTCATTGCCATGGGAACTCCATGCAGACCAAACAAAAGCATGCCTAGATTCAGCTTGTACGCCACCAGTTTGAGAGCCCTAAAAGAATGGTGAGGAATAAAACAGCCACCGTATGTACTTACTGCATTTAGACACACTTGGAATATCGTATTTATATATACATTTTTAAGGGAATTTTTCTCCTTTTCCCCTCCATTTTTGATTCCAAGCATGAAATCTGATTGCTGTATTTTTCTTTCCTTTCATACACTTTGGAAAATCCAGACCATAAATGGTGGCTGCACTAAAAGAAAGATGGTCCCTAAATTCCTGTATCCAGAGAAACCTATTTATGGCTAGCTACATCTTCGTAGGTTCTGCATTTTCCCAGAGACGACCTCTTGTTTTTCTTTTAAACCCTCACTGGATATATGGCATCTGTGACCAAGAAACCCAGTTGTTCACCTGCAAAGAAGTATTGAGCTCTAGACAGAAAAAAATGAAAGCATAACTAATTGAATTGACGAGGAAAGTATGCTGAAACCCCTATGGGGAGCCTGATGGTTTTGAATATGAGTTAGGTACCACCATCCAACCGTGGTGAATGAATCATTTTTGCTACACCACTTACATATGCTTTTACCTCTAGCTATGTCCAACGGAGATAATAGGTGAATTAAGTCCAAGACACCCAGCAGAAAATAAATGGTGTCAAGAACACTAATAGAAACCACAAACCTAGCTGATGACAGTCACTGTTTGCATCTAGTGGCTGAAGGAGAAACGGCCTCAAAATAAGGAGGCATATTGCCTGCTAAAGCAGAGTGGAGTCCCACCCAAAGGCAGAAGTAGGACCAGCTGTTGTCACAAGGGATGGAGGAGGTGGTAAAGGAATTTAAAAAGAAGCTCAATCTCAGCTACTACTAACCCACTGGATGAGTCACTTTCTCTCTGTGTGTCTCACTTTTTCCTCTGCAAAATGGAAGTAAGATGGTCTCTAGTATGTCCCTAGCTCCCCACCTAAGGCTCACCTCCTTATGATTCCCAGCTTAGCCAAGGCTCCAACCAAGCCAAGTTGTGCTTCATTCTGTCTCCCAGCTCCATGCTCCCATTATGCCTTTATTGTTCCCTCTGCTTGGAGTGACTTTTCCCACCTTTCCTGCTCAACTCCTTCCCCATTTGCAAATGTTGCCTTCTCACTCTCCCCCAACCAACTCCAATTACTCCTCTGAATCTGTGATTTATAGTCATAGTTATAAGCTTGAACTCTGCAGCAGGGCCGGCTGGGATTGAATTCTGACTCTACTACCTACTAGCTGTGTGAGCTTTAGAAAATAACTTTCCTACATCCAGTTTCCACTTCTGGAAAACAGGAAAAATAATAAGACCTACCTCAAATGAGATATTTTGAGGATTAAATGATGAGATTCATGGAAAACATTTGCCTTGCACGGGGGTGACACACTGTAAATGCTGTTGTTATTGCTGCTGTTGCCATTGTTGCTGTCACCTACACCTCTCTGAGGGCATCTTAAATCTTCAACCCTGCACTATAGTTACCATGTCTGTTTCTTATTGAGACTGGTAGACTCATTTCTACAACTTATTCAAAACCTGACATGAGGGGTTGTATGTTCTAAATACTCAACATATGTTTGTTGAATGTCCATCTTCACAATAGCTAAGGACTCTGTCCTGTTTTTCATTTAATCAAGAGAAAATCGGCTAATAGGGAGAATTTCCAGCTGTCACTAACTACCTGTGTAACACAGGGCAACTCAGTCCTGGTCCCTGAATGGATTTGGAGAAGAAGTGGGAAGAATTGGAGATAAAGAAATAAAAGGAACCAGAAAATAAAGTTACCTTGTCATCCTAATGTTGCCAGCTACCCCACTATTCAGGAAAGCTCTGATCTCTTTGCTGGAAAAATAGTAGCAAAAATTTCTTTCTTTCATGTGTTGTACCTACTATGTGTCAGGCACTCTGACAAGTGTTAGATCATGTTACTGCTAATCTTCTTGAAAACTCTGCCTGGTATATCAACACCATTTTGTGATGAGAAAACTGGGGCTCAGAGAAATTAATTCACTTGCATGTGGGTACCCAGCAGGGCTGAGATTATAACCTGTGTCAGTCTGATTCTAATACCCATGATTTATCCTTGACACACAGCTGTCTTCCAAGACCAACAATCTTCTGAAGGTCCCTTAGGGCTCCCCAGGGATTGTTATAATTTTTTAAAAAGTGGGAGACATCCTTTTTCCTTTATAGGATTCCCTAACTCTGGTTTTTTTAATGGGCCTTGCTTTGAATTTTTATTCAATTTTTATTATTCCTAAGAGTATCTTTGTCTTTAAGAGCCATCTCCTGAGGGAGCAGAGGCGAGCACCCAGGAGAACATTTTGCCCCCACCAAGATCAGGTGCAGCCTGCTCAGCTGGAGTGAGGGAGATGGTGAGACAGAAATATGAGCAAAAATGTAACTGGTGCCACTTTGGAAAGTCAGCTTCAGCTGGGAAGGGACTGTGGGACATTCCATAGTCACAGCCAAAGCTGGAGAGGGCATGTTGTTAACTGTAGCACTTTAAGTAGGAAGGATAAATGGGGAGAAAATGAGGAAATAGAGTCAGAAGTGACCTTAAAATTGTGACTGTGAGAGAGATCTGGAATCTATTTATCCTATGGGTAAATTCCATTTGTCCTATAGAAATGATCGTGCAAATGTGATAAGATGTGTGCGTAAGGACATTCGTTTCACTGTTTTAAAAAGCAGGAGATGGCTTAGTGTCCATCAGTAGAAAGCTGGTGAAAGAAATGCCAGCCCATCATGCCAAAGGAACAGGAAGCGGCTGTTGAGGAGGATGAACAATAATGGTTGTGCTACGACCTAGAGATCTTCAGGGTCACAGAACTGGGAAGTCGTGGGTTATGGTCTTGCTGATCCAAATTACAGGCTCTTTTCACTGCCACATGCTGCCTCCCTGGAACACAGGAACTAGGGAAATGTATAACCAAGGGTTGCACAAAACCCTTTGTTACACGTACTTCATAGAATCAGTGCTAGAGTTCTTCTACGAAAGGAAAAATTCGTGTGGGCTAAGGTGAACAGAGACTTCTGGGAAGCAATGAATGGTGCCTTGAAAGATGAAATAAGATTTTTCCACAGAAGCAAAGAGAAATGAGGAGGGAATCCCTGCTGGAGGATGATCGTGAGCAAGCGCACTAAGGTGGATAGGGAGACACGTAAGGGAGGGAGCCAATACCAATGAATACCTAGAAAGAATCTTGATTGACAGGTACCATAGCTCAGCAAGGTGGGTTGAGCCATGCTACCTGTCAATCAAGATCCTTCCTAGGTATTCATTGGCAAGGGCTCAGAGTTCACCAAGTTTAATGATAAACCCAATACCATGACTTTTGGGGCCCTGTACCCTGCTATGAGGCTATTAAAGTGTCACCTTAGAAACACACAGAGTGTAAAATAGGTAATGTTGGACCACTTCTTCAGCTGCCATCAGGAAGAGCTCTAGGAAGTAGCTCTCAACTTCCTGTGGAGCACCTTTGTTGATTGGTGTTAAGACTTAGTCCACCATGCATGGAACTTTGCCAGCCACATTCTAACTTCTGGGATTCAAAGGGTCCTGGCTGGGCACTTGGGGGAACCCACTGGCCACCGCTGCTGCCAGGTTATTATTTATCTTTATCTCCTGAGCAGCAGGTAGAAGAGGCTGTTAGAAAAATGTCTTCCTGGCTGGGGACCCCCCTGAGATTCATTTTCTCTTTCACGTCTCATTTTGGGAATGGAAAAAAAATCAATAGAGAGGGAGTTTGCTTTATTTTGGTTCTGGCTATTGCAGACATGTATTTCTACAGATACAAGAAAGGAGTCATCACTCCGATGTTTTAAATTGAGCACCACCTGGGATCTAAACCTTGCATTAGGCACAAGGCTAACTAAGCATTATGGCAGATTTAAAGAAGCAAGAAGTGAGTTCAGACCTCTAAGTTTGCGACACAGTAGAAGAACCAAGGTATTCAAGGAGAAAAATAGATAATAAAGCAGAACATGCTTTTGAATAATTCCCAAAAGTGGGGTTAATAGTCAATAGGTAAAGAAGAGAGAAAGATCACTGAGGACTAAAATGATCTGGGCTGGCTTATGGAAAAGGAGAAACTTGGGCTGGTCCCAAGGGATTAAGCAAGACTTATAGGAGGAATTACAGGTAAGACAAAGGGGTCGGCGGGGCGAGTCAAGCAAAGAAGGGGAGATGACTGTGTTTTGAGGCCAAGGATCCCATTATTCAGACAAACCTGGGTTTGGATCCTAGCTCCAGCAGCTACTAAGCTTTCAGACTTGAACCAGTAGGTTAACCATTGAGTCTCAGTTTCCTCAAATTTGAAAAAAGGTCCATTCATACCAATATCACAGAATCATTATGAGAATACATGAGCAAACAGAGACCTAGTACCTAGCACATACCAGAGCCTCAAAAATCTTGATTTTCTTTCCCTTCCATTATGTTAATCACCTCACTTCCTTCCCACCCTATCCCTGGTCCCCCACCAATCATTTATTCCCTGCTAAGAGCTTTCTGAGACTCACTGACAGGCATCTCCTTATCTGGCTGTGCTGCTGGCCCACCTCTGGCCAGAGGAAAGTCCAGAGGCTATTTCCAGCAGGAGGAGGAAGGCTGCCAGATGCAGTGTTATGACTGGAGGATATTGGCAGCATCACTCATCCCATCCCAGTGTTATTTCTCAGCTCAGTTATTGGATAGGAACTGAATCCACACACCTGCCCACTTTGCTAGTGTTACTCATTTCTCTGGCAGTGACCCTTCCCTGCCAAACCAGACTGTCCACAAGTCCGTTCCTGCTCTCCTGAGCACCTGGTTTTGTTTCTTTGAGGTCAGCATTAGGTTCATTTTTCTTTACATCTCAAGAGTGATGGATATTGGCTTTGCAGGAATTGTAAATATGCAGGGCTTTCTCAACAGAGCAGCTAAGAGCGTGGGCTCTGGAGTTAGGCCTGGGCTTAGTTCTGCCTCTTACACTAATTTTCTTTGTGATTCTGGGCAACTAGGTTTTCGTGTCAGAGCCTCTACCACTATTGCTGTATAACAAACCACTCCAAACTCATGACAAAAAATAACAGTTATTTTATTAAGATCATGGATTTCATGGGTCAGGAAATTTGGAAAGGGGCACCATGGATGACTTGTCTCTGCTTGTATCTGGAGCCTTCGATGGAAAATCTAGAAGACTGTGGATAACTTGACAGCTGGGGGGAGGAATTATCTGAGGGCTTACTCCCTCCTTTACGTGTCTGGCAGCCGAGGCTTTTGGCCTGAATACCTACACGTGCCCTCTCCTGGCTCCTCTGTGGGCTTCCTCACAGCACGATGGCTGGGTTCCAAGAACAAGTGTCCCAAAAAGAAGCAGGCAGAAGCTGTATCACCTTTCATAACCTACCCTCAAAAATGACATAGTGTGACTTCTGCCATTGTCACAACCCCAACCAGATTAAAAGAGAAGGAACATAGATTCCACCTTTCAGTAAGAGAAGGGTCAGCATCGCATTGTAAGGTGTGGAATGGAGGGGGTAGGGGTATTGTGACCATCTTTGGAAAATACAATCTGCCATACTTTATATATAAAATAAGGATTATATATTGTGGAATCATTATGAAGATCGAATGGAATAAGGTATTTAAAGGGCTTAGCATGGTGCTGACATGTAATAAGTGCTCAATAAAAGGCATGTGCTCTCTCTCTCCAAGTAGAGGACTATATGGCATTTATAGTCAGTGATTATTAGTATTCCATGTAGTCAGTGTTTATTAATTTTTTGTGTCCACAATAGACACCAGTGATTACTTTTAAGCTAATTAATCAAAACATTAGTTCCTTAATGAGTCTATAGAATGGGGTCTTAAAATACATATAGTTTCTTATCTCATCATCTCATATTATACTTTGGGAAACTAAGGTTGAAGAAGTTCACATAGCCGGTAAAGTTAGCATCGAGCATTTTATAATCTAGGCTTGGATGAAGCATTTTTATTGAAAATAGCTCAAGTGACCCTTAACAAACAATAAGCAATTTTTTAAAGGACTAATGTTTAGACTTCAACACCTTTCAGGTTATGTAGGACCTTGAACATCATCATAAGCCTTGGAGGCAAATGAAAAGAGACAGGAGGAGCATTAGTTCTTGGTGCATTCTTATTTTGCCACAGGAAACCCTTCAAGAGATCTGAACACTAAAATAAGCCCAGTCACTGCCTCTGTCTTTTTGAGACTATGTAAACTGCTCCTCCATCCCACGCCCAGAGTCTCCATGTTTAGGCAATGTTTGCTCAATGTAGTCAGTAGGACAGAACAGTTAAAGCTAGCAACATTGAGTTGCTGTGCCTTTGCATATCCACCTGAGAAGTAAGGCCAAGAGGAACAGAATGAATGGGTCATGGTGTGTATTTCTTTATCAAGGCTGTGTAGAGAGCCTGGCTAGACAAGGACAGGAGTCAGAAGATACAACTGTGGCTATGTGCCCATGGGTAAGTCACTTTTCTTCTCAGGCCTCAGGTTTCACACTTCGAATGATCTGACATTCTACAAAGGAAGGTGTTTCCTGAGCCCTCATGGCCAGTTCTGTATTCTCCTTAGTACCATAAAGAATACATAGAAATAAGGAACACCAAGTCTTTCCTTTTATGATGTGTATAGTCTCATTAGGAAGATAAGACTAACACACATGAAACAGTGAACTTACAAAGTTCAGGTGTATCCTGGGCCCCAAGTGCCATCCACGGGTGATGCAGATAGGAGAGATAGACATTGGTAGAAGGTCAGTCCTCATCTCCATCTGACTCGGATGGGAAAAAGGGGAGACACATGATTAAACCAGAAGCAAATATATCAGCCTTCCCTAGTAAGCTAAGGCTTCTTACATTTTACCATATATGTTACAACAAAACTCAGACAGGGAAAAGGGAATTTTCTTACTTACACACAGCAGATTCATATTCATGGTGATGCTTGTTTTTATTTAACTTCAACCTCTTTTTTTACTTAATGGACTCTTTCCTCTTAAATTTAAGATAACACATTGAGCAAACAAAGGTATAGATAGGAGTGAAGTTTCCCCACATCTTCCCCCTTTGACACACAATTTATTTTCTTTTTATAAATTTTATTAAGATATAACACACAAATAAATAAGACACGAATTATAAATATACAGCCCAACTAATTTTCAGAAAACTAATTTTCAGTGCCTGTGTAATCAGCACTCAAATTAAGAAATAGATGATATCAAGAATCTCAGGTAACTCTTTTTGTCTCCTTCACACTTCTCCCATGACAGGAGTAGCCGCTCCCCTGATTTCTGATGCATAGAGTAGTTTTATGAATTGAACTGTTTTTGAATCTACTGAATAGAATTATATAGTATCTATTTTTTGTGTCTGGCTCTTTTTGCCCAATATTATATTGTGACCTTCATCCATGTATCACATATAGTTGTAGTTCATTCATTCTCATTATTTTATAGTATTCCATTTTGTGGATATACCACAATTTATTTATTCATTCTTTCTGGATGAACATTTGGGTTGTTCCCAGTGTAAGGCCATTATAAATAGGGCTGCTGTGAAGATTCTTGTAAAAGTCTTTTGGTATGTGTATTTCTGTTGGATGCATAACTAGGAGTGGAATTCCTGGGTCAACTTATATATATTTTCTATTGTAGATGCTACCAAACTGTTTTCAGAAGTAGCATACAGATTTAGACTCATCAGCAATGTATATGAGTTCCAGTTGCTCCACATTTGCCCTTTTCCTTTTAGCAAGTAGATGAGTTGTAGGATCACATTATGGTTTTAATTTGCATTTCCCTGGCAACTAGTACTTCTTTCATATTTGTTAGCCATTTGAGTAGCTATCCTCTTTTATAAAGTACTTTTGTAAGTCTCTTGGTCACTTTTCTGTTAGGTCATCTGTTCTTTTCTTATTGTTGTACAAGTATTCTTCATATAGCCTTGACATAAGTCCTTTTTTAGTTGTATATATTGTTAATATTGTCTCTCATTCTGTGGCTTATCTTTTCACTGTCTTGGCAGTGTGTCATGTTGAACAGAAATACATAACTTTAATGTAGTCCAGTTTCACAAGATTTTTTCTTTATGCCTAGTACTTTTTGTGTCTTGCTTAAGAAGACTTTACCTACCTCAAAGTCATAAAGATATTCTTTTATAGTTTCTTCTGAAAGTTTCAGCTTTACCTTTTACTTTTAGATCTAGGTGTTCTATAGGTATGTGTGAGAGAGAGGGTCAAGATTTTTTGTTTGTTTGTTGGTACATAGATATCCTATTGAACTTGCATGATTTATTTTAATGTCATCCTTTCTTCTTACTGTATACCACTTTCACATAAATCAGTTACCAAATACATGCAGGTCTGTGTCTGGATTCTTGATTCTGTTCTGTTGATATAGTTGTCTGTCTTTGCCAGGGTATTACCTTATCTTAACTACTTAAGCTTTATAGTAAGTCTTGATAACTGGTTCTGAGATGGAAGCTGGATGATCCCATGGGGTACGGGGTGTAGAAGGGATTCTCTTCACATAGAGACTCCTACGAGAAAATGTCTGCAGTGTTTTCTAACTGTGAGATACTATGATTCTGTTGGATTAGCAATGATTGTGGCTTTTCTCAAGGGTCTGGAAGAAATCAATAACAGACTCTATGTTAGTGATTTTTCTGAACAGTTTCACACCTAAAAGTGATGGGTAAAGCTCAGGATCAGGATAATTGTGGGTAGAAAAGACATCCTTTAGCATCCAAACTTGGAGCATGCAAAACTCTAGGGAGTGCCAGAGGAAAGGCAAAGAAGGATTAATTATCTTTCATTTAAATTAACCTAAAAGAAGAAATTGCATTTCAAATGAGATAGAAGGTACTGGGGGGACAAAAAGGAATTTGCCTTGCATTCAAAACATGGTTGCTTTTATTGACCCATAGTCTCAACTCAATGTGTAAGGAAAGCTGTGGGTTGCATCATCATATCGTTAGAGATGAAAAAGTAGGGGAAACAGCCAAGATGGCTGAATAGGAACAGCTCCGGTCTACAGCTCCCAGCGTGAGTGACAGAGAAGACGGGTGATTTCTGCATTTCCATCTGAGGTACCAGGTTCATCTCACTAGGGAGTGCCAGACAGTGGGCGCAGGACAGTGGGTGCAGCGCACCATGCACGAGCTGAAGCAGGGCGAGGCATTGCCTCACTCGGGAAACGCAAGGGATCAGGGAGTTCCCTTTCCTAGTCAAAGAAAGGGGTGACAGATGGCACCTGGAAAATCAGGTCACTCCCGCCCTAATACTGCGCTTTTCCAATGGACTTAAAAAACGGCGCACCAGGAGATTATATCCCCCACCTGGCTCGGAGGGTCCTACCCCCACGGAGTCTCGCTGATTGCTAGCACAGCAGTCTGAGATCAAACTGCAAGGCGGCAGCAAGGCTGGGGGAGGGGCCCCCGCCATTGCCCAGGCTTGCTTAGGTAAACAAAGCAGCCAGGAAGCTCGAACTGGGTGGAGCCCACCACAGCTCAAGGAGGCCTGCCTGCCTCTGTAGGCTCCACCTCTGGGGGCAGGGCACAGACAAACAAAAAGACAGCAGTAACCTCTGCAGACTTAAATGTCCCTGTCTGACAGCTTTGAAGAGAGCAGTGGTTCTCCCATCATGCAGCTGGAGATCTGAGAACGGGCAGACTGCCTCCTCAAGTGAGTCCCTAACCCCTGACCCCCAAGCAGCCTAACTGGGAGGCGCCCCCCAGTAGGGGCAGGCTGATACCTCACACGGCCGGGTACTCCTCTGAGACAAAACTTCCAGAGGAACGATCAGACAGCAGCATTTGCGGTTCACGAAAATCCGCGGTTCTGCAGCCACCGCTGCTGTTACCCAGGCAAACAGGGTCTGGAGTGGTCCTCTAGCAAACTCCAACAGACCTGCAGCTGAGGGTCCTGTCTCTTAGAAGGAAAACTAACAAACAGAAAGGACATCCACACCAAAAACCCATCTGTACATCACCATCATCAAAGACCAAAAGTAGATAAAACCACAAAGATGGGGAAAAAAACAGAGCAGAAAAACTGGAAACTCTAAAAAGCAGAGCACCTCTCCTCCTCCAAAGGAACGCAGTTCCTCACCAGCAACGGAACAAAGCTGGACAGAGAATGACTTTGACGAGTTGAGAGAGGAAGGCTTCAGACGATCAAACTACTCCGAGCTACAAGAGGAAATTCAAACCAAAGGCAAAGAAGTTGAAAACTTTGAAAAAAATTTAGATGAATGTATAACTAGAATAACCAATACAGAGAAGTGCTCAAAGGAGCTGATGGAGCTGAAAGCCAAGGCTTGAGAACTACGTGAAGAATGCAGAAGCCTCAGGAGCCGATGCGATCAACTGGAAGAAAGGGTATCAGTGATGGAAGATGAAATGAATGAAATGAAGCGAGAAGGGAAGTTTAGAGAAAAAAGAATAAAAAGAAATGAACAAAGCCTCCAAGAAATATGGGACTATGTGAAAAGACCAAATCTATGTCTGATTGGTGTACCTGAAAGTGATGGGGAGAATGGAACCAAGTTGGAAAACACTCTGCAGGATATTATCCAGGAGAACTTCCCCAATCTAGCAAGGCAGGCCAACATTCAGATTCAGGAAATACAGAGAATGTCACAAAGATACTCCTCGAGAAGAGCAACTCCAAGACACGTAATTGTCAGATACACCAAAGTTGAAATGAAGGAAAAAATGTTAAGGGCAGCCAGAGAGAAAGGTCGGCTTACCCACAAAGGGAAGCCCATCAGACTAACAGCGGATCTCTCGGCAGAAACTCTACAAGCCAGAAGCGACTGGGGGCCAATATTCAACATTCTTACAGAAAAGAATTTTCAACCCAGAATTTCATATCCAGCCAAACTAAGCTTCATAAATGAAGGAGAAATAAAATACTTTACAGACAAGCAAATGCTGAGAGATTTTGTCACCACCAGGCCTGCCCTAAAAGAGCTCCTGAAGGAAGCACTAAACATGGAAAGGAACAACCAGTACCAGCCACTGCAAAATCATGCCAAATTGTAAAGACCATCAAGGCTAGGAAGAAACTGCATCAACTAACAAGCAAAATAACCAGCTAACATCATCATGACAGGATCAAATTCACACATAAGAATATTAACTTTAAATGTAAATGGACTAAATGCTCCAATTAAAAGACACAGAGCGGCAAATTGGATAGTCAAGACCCATCAGTGTGCTGTATTCAGGAAACCCATCTCACGTGCAGAGACACACATAGGCTCAAAATAAAAGGATGGAGGAAGATCTACCAAGCAAATGGAAAACAAAAAAAGGCAGGGGTTGCAATCCTAGTCTCTGATAAAACAGACTTTAAACCAACAAAGATCAAAAGAGACAAGGCCATTACATAATGGTAAAGGGATCAATTCAACAAGAAGAGCTAACTATCCTAAATATATATGCACCCAATACAGGAGCACCCAGTTTCATAAAGCAAGTCCTGAGTGACCTATGAAGAGACTTAGACTCCCACACAATAATAATGGGAGACTTTAACACCCCACTGTCAATGTTAGACAGATCAACGAGACAGAAAATTAACAAGGATACCCAGGAATTGAACTCAGCTCTGCACCAAGCGGACCTAATAGACATCTACAGAACCCTCCACCCCATATCAACAGAATATACATTTTTTTCAGCACCGCACCACACCTATTCCAAAATTGACCACATAGTTGGAAGTAAAGCTCTCCTCAGCAAATGTAAAAGAACAGAAATTATAACAAACTGTCTCTCAGACCACAGTGCAATCAAACTAGAACTCAGGATTAAGAAACTCACTCAAAACCACTCAACTACATGGAAACTGAACAACCTGCTTATGAATGACCACTGGGTACATAACAAAATGAAGGCAGAAATAAAGATGTTCTTTGAAACCAACGAGAACAAAGACACAACATACCAGAATCTCTGGGACGCATTCAAAGCAGTGTGTAGAGGGAAATTTATAGCACTAAATGCCCACAAGAGAATGCAGGAAAGATCCAAACTTCACACCCTAACATCACAATTAAAAGAACTAGAAAAGCAAGAGCAAACACATTGAAAAGCTAGCAGAAGGCAAGAAATAACTAAAATCAGAGCAGAACTGAAGGAAATAGAGACACAAAAAACCCTTCAAAAAATTAATGAATCCAGGAGCTGGTTTTTTGAAAGGATCAACAAAATTGATAGACCACTAGCAAGACTAATAAAGAAGAAAAGAGAGAAGAATCAAATAGATGCAATAAAAAATAATAAAGGGGATATCACCACCAATCCCACAGAAATACAAACTACCATCAGAATACTACAAACACCTCTACGCAAATAAACTAGAAAATCTAGAAGAAATGGATAAATTCCTCGACACATACACCCTCCCAAGACTAAACCAGCAAGAAGTTGAATATCTGAGTAGACCAATAACAGGCTCTGAAATTGTGGCAATAATTAATAGCTTACCAACAAAAAGTCCAGGACCAGATGGATTCACAGCCGAATTCTACCAGAGGTACAAGGAGGAATTGGTACCATTCCTTCTGAAACTATTCCAATCAATAGAAAAAGAGGGAAACCTCCCTAACTCATTTTATGAGGCAAGCATCATCCTGATATCAAAGCCGGGCAGAGACACAACCAAAAAAGAGAATTTTAGACCAACATCCTTGATGAACATTGATGCAAAAATCCTCAATAAAATATTGGCAAACTGAATCCAGCAGCACATCAAAAAGCTTATCCACCATGATCAAGTGGGCTTCATCCCTGGGATGCAAGGCTGGTTCAATATATGCAAATCACTAAATGTAATCCAGCATATAAACAGAACCAAAGACAAAAACCACATGATTATCTCAATAGATGCAGAAAAGGCCTTTGACAAAATTCAACAACCTTCATGCTAAAAACTATCAATAAATTAGGTATTGATGGGACGTATCTCAAAATAATAAGAGCTATCTATGACAAACCCACAGCCAATATCATACTGAATGGGCAAAAACTGGAAGCATTCCCTTTGAGAACTGGCACAAGACAGGGATGCCCTCTCTCACCACTCCTATTCAACATAGTGTTGGAAGTTCTGGCCAGGGCAATTAGGCAGGAGAAGGAAATAAAGAGTATTCAATTAGGAAAAGAGGAAGTCAAATTGTCCCTGTGTGCAGATGACATGATTGTATATCTAGAAAACCCCATTGTCTCAGCCCAAAATCTCCTTAAGATGATAAGCAACTTCAGCAAAGTCTCAGGATACAAAATCAATGTACAAAAATCACAAGAATTCTTATACACCAATAACAGGCAAACAGAGAGCCAAATCATGAGTGAACTCCCATTCACAATTGCTTCAAAGAGAATAAAATACCTAGGAATCCAACTTACAAGGGACGTGAAGGACCTCTTCAAGAACTACAAACCACTACTCAAGGAAATAAAAGAGGTTACAAAGAAATGGAAGAACATTCCATGCTCATGGGTAGGAAGAATCAATATCGTGAAAATGGCCATACTGCCCAAGGTAATTTATAGATTCAATGCCATCCCCATCAAGCTACCAATGACTTTCTTCACAGAATTGGAAAAACTACTTTAAAGTTCATATGGAACCAAAAAAGAGCCCGCATCGCCAAGTCAATCCTAAGCCAAAAGAACAAAGCTGGAGGCATCACGCTACCTGACTTCAAACTATACTACAAGGCTACAGTAACCAAAACAGCATGGTACTGGTACCAAAACAGAGATATAGACCAATGGAACAGAACAGAGCCCTCAGAAATAATGCCGCATATCTACAACTATCTTATCTTTGATAAACCTGAGAAAAATAAGCAATGGGGAAAGGATTCCCTATTTAATAAATGGTGCTGGGAAAAGTGGCTAGCCATATGTAGAAAGCTGAAATTAGATCCCTCCCTTACACCTTATACAAAAATTAATTCAAGATGGATTAAAGACTTAAACGTTAGACCTAAAACCATAAAAACCCTAGAAGAAAACCTAGGCATTACCATTCAGGACATAGGCATAGGCAAGGACTTCATGTCTAAAACACCAAAAGCAATGGCAACAAAAGCCAAAATTGACAAATGGGATCTAATTAAACTAATGAGCTTCTGCACAGCAAAAGAAACTACCATCAGAGTGAACAGGCAACCTACAAAATGGGAGAAAATTTTTGCAACCTACTCATCTGACAAAGGGCTAATATCCAGAATCTACAATGAACTCAAACAAATTTACAAGAAAAAAACAAACAACCCCATCAAAAAGTGGGCGAAGGACATGAACAGACACTTCTCAAAAGAAGACATTTATGCAGCCAAAAGACACATGAAAAAATGCTCACCATCACTGGCCATCAGAGAAATGCAAATCAAAACCACAATGAGATACCATCTCACACCAGTTAGAATGGCAGTCATTAAAAAGTCAGGAAACAACAGGTGCTGGAGAGGATGTGGAGAAATAGGAACAGGTTTACACTGTTGGTTGGACTGTAAACTAGTTCAACCATTGTGGAAGTCAGTGTGGCGATTCCTCAGGGATCTAGAACTAGAAATACCATTTGACCCAGCCATCCCATTACTGGGTATATACCCAAAGGACTATAAATCATGCTGCTATAAAGACACATGCACACGTATGTTTATTGCAGCACTATTCACAATAGCAAAGACTTGGAACCAACCCAAATGTCCAACAGTGATAGACTGGATTAAGAAAAGGTGGCACATATACACCGTGGAATACTATGCAGCCATAAAAAATGATGAGTTCGTGTCCTTTGTAGGGACGTGGATGAAATTGGAAATCATCATTCTCAGTAAACTATCACAAGAACAAAAAACCAAACACCGCATATTCTCACTCATAGGTGGGAATTGAACAATGAGAACACATGGACATAGGAAGGGGAACATCACAGTCTGGGGACTGTTGTGGGGTAGGGAGAGGGGGGAGCGATAGCATTAGGAGATATACCTAATGCTAAATGACGAGTTAATGGGTGCAGCACACCAGCATGGCACATGTATACATATGTAACTAACCTGCACATTGTGCACATGTACCCTAAAACTTAAAGTATAATAATAATAAAATAAAATTAATTAATTAATTGAAAAAAGAGAAAAAGTAGAAAAGTTGGTGTTAAGTAGTGCATTTTTTAACCAGTTGAGTCTAAGGTATTACACAGTAAAGAGTGTGTTGGGGCAGTTAGATTGGAGGTATTGGCTAAATCACAAATCATCCAGCTCTCTGCAAATTCACAGAAAGAGCAAACTCATCCATAGCCTTGAACCACAGAGCAAACATTTTTCTGTGCAAAATTGGGTTACATTTCATCTTGTGAATTTTCCACCCCTGTTTATACTGAAATGATAGGGCTTTGAAAAGAATAAACAACATTCCCTTTCTGTTGCATCAAGACAAAAACCCCCACACTCAATAAATCAAAACTGTACCAGCAAAAATTGAACAATTCCATCATTTGCTGAAACCTCTAAAACCCTCAAATTTGTTTGAGGGCTTCTGTAAACAACTTAATCAATCAATGTTAGCAAAAATATGTGTTAGGCACCTACAGTGGACTAAGAACTGAACTAGGTGAGTGGTGGATTCTCAAGAAAAATGTCATGTGTGAACATACACATGTATGCAATTATTGTTTACTTAATTGAGTAAAAAAATGCCCATTAAATAATCGAACATTTAACAATGTGGGGCTAGCTCTCTTATCCCTATTCTTGCAGCATCATAGCAGCCTTTATATACTATTACAGTTGCTTGTTCAACACCTGTCTCCCACACATTGCTTCTGAAAATTTATTGTGTATTTAAATTACCTAGGGATCTTGTTAAAATGCAGATTCTAGTTCCATAGTTCTGGGGTGAGGCCTAAGAATTTTTATTTCTAACAAGCTCTCAGGTGATGCTGCTGGTCTGAGGACTGCATTTCAAATAACAAATAACAAAGCTCAAGGCTGACTCCAAGCTCCATGAAGGTAAGGACCTTTCTGCCTTGCCCACCCCTATAACTCCAGCACCTCCCAAAGAGCCTTGATGAATGTATGTTGAGCTAGTGAATAAGTAAATGAATAAATATCCTAATAAATAGTATTTTATTAGCATGTAACAGTACATTTTTACATAGGTAGACATGAGAAAAGTTTAACAGTACGTGCAAAAATGGAGAAATAAGAATAATGATGGTCTGATGAAGTAAACAAGGCCTGATGGAGAGAATAACAATAAAATAAGTAGGAAAGTGGGGTTAAATTATAAAGGGTTTTGAAAACTAGGCAAAGGACTGAATGTTACACAGAAAATAAAGAATAAATTAGTAAGTGCTCAATAAAAGAATGGTGGACTGAAAATTTCCTTTTGGACTGTTTAATCTGGTGTCATTGAGCAGCCTTGAAAGTAAAGCGGTAGATAACACATTGTTGCATTAATCCAAAATGGACTTCATAACGTCCCGGACTAGTTTCTAGGCAGTTAGGAGAAGGAAGGAACTGATGAAACCCACCTGTATTTCAATGGCATAATTCATTTTCTCCTCTTATGTCAGAATGCAACTGCTCTGATTAAGCCAAGTGAGCCAAACCCTGTAACCTAGCTTTAATCATTTGAGGGTTTAGATCTCAGATTCCAAGGTAACTAGCACATAGGACTTTGTCAGTCATGAGGTTAGACTTATGTTCAGACCAGGTTCAAGTGAGAATCCTCCCTGCTTCTAGGCCCTCTTCCTGAAACCTTCACTGTATGCCTCAAATCTAAGCCCTTTAACCACCTTGATCAGACTCTATCACTTCTTCCCCAACTCTGAAGGATAAAGTCTAAACCTATTAATGTATCATTCGAACCCTGTGAAATTTAGCCTCATCTGCTTCTCTCTCTTCTTTCTCTCTCTCTCTTTCTCTCTGTCTCTCTTTCTCTCTCTCTCTCTCTCCATCTTCATCTCTTTCTCCTATATTCTGGCCTCTTGTGATCTGTTCCATTCCAAACTCCTGGGCCCTTTTTGAGTTTTCACCTCTCTGTCCTTTTGCCTGGAGAGTCTATTCCATGCTGTCTCTCTAATATACTCCTTCTTCACAATTCAGCTCCAATTTCACTTTCTCAGGGGACCCTTTCCTGATCTCAGCTCCACCTGCTAGGACAGCCTGTAGCTCCTGCCTTCAGGACTCCTGTGTTTTTCATGCATTTTTACTAATTCTAGCACATTGTCTGTAATTCTACAATTTTTCTCCTTTTCCAAACTAGAATGTGAGCTCCCTAAGGCAGAACCCATTTTTTTCCTAGCTTTATTGAGGTACAATTGACAAATAAAAATTATATATATTTAAGGTATACAACATGATGTTTTGATATGTGTGTATGTTGTGAAATGATTATCATCCATAATCAAGCTAATTAACATTTCCGTCATTTTACATAGTTATCCTGTAGTGGGGAACAGGGTGATAACATTTAATATCTATTATATGAGCAAATTTCAAGTATGCAATGCATTATTATTCACTATAGTTTCTAAGCTGCACCTTAGGTATCCGGAACTTATTATTCGTTTTATAACTTCAAGTTAATACTCTTTGACCAACATCTTATTTCCCCCATTCCATGACCCCTGATATCCACCCTTCTACTCTCTTCCTGTAAGTTTGACTTTTTGAGATTCCACATATAAGTGGGATCAGGTGTCATTTGTCTTTCTGTGTCTGGCTTATTTCACTTATAATGCCCTCCAGGTTCAACCATTCTGTCACAAATTGTAGGATGTACTTCTTTTTTAAGGCTGAATATATATACCACATTTTCTTTTTCATTCATCCATCCATGAATACTTAAGTTGTTTCTATATCTTGGCTATTGTGAATAGTGCTACAATGAACATGACAGTGCATATATCTTTGTGAGATGCTGATTTTATTTCCTTTGGATATGTACCCAGAAGTGGGATTGCTGGAGTGTATTTAGTTTTATTTTTACTTTTTTGAGGGCCCTTCACATTATTTGCTGTAATGGCTATACCAATTTACATTCACACCAACAATATATAAAAATTCTGTTTTCTTCACATCCTCACCAACATTTGTCATCTTTGGCTTTTTGATAATAACCATTCTAAGAATTGTAAGGGGATCTCTCATTCTGATTTTGATTAGCTTTTCCCTGTTGACTAGTAATGTTGAGCACCTTTTCATATACACATTGGCCACCTTTCTGTCTTTTTTGGAAAAATAGCTATTCAGTTTCTTGTCCATTTTTAACTAGGTTATTTGGGGATTTTTTGCCATTGAGTTGTAAGAGTGTCATATATAGTTTGAATATTAACCCCTTATTGGGTATATGGTTTGCAAATGTTTTCTCCAATTCCATAATTGCCTTTTCATTTTGATTGCTTCCTTTGATGTATGGAAACTTTTTAGTTTGATGTAGACTTGCTTGTTAATTTGTGCTTTTTCTATTTGTGTTTTGATGCCATATTCAAAAAGTTATTGCCAAGACCAATGTCAAAAAGCTTTTGCTCTATGTTTTCTTCTAGGAGTTTTACAGTTTCTGGTCTTACTTTAAGTCTTAAATCTGTCTTCAGCTGATTTTTTGTGCGTAGTACAAAATAAGAGTTAAATTTCTTTTTTTTTTTTTTCTTTGCATGTGGACATCTAGTTTTTCCAAGACCATTTATTGAAAAGACTATCCTTTTCCACTGTGTATTCTTGATATCTCTTTAATACTGTAATGGTGGTATATAAATCACTTCTTGCTTTAGTATAAAGGCTAAAAGATAAAAGTACCAAAAATAATTATATTTAAATAATTTGTTATTGGTTTGTTATATATATGTTGTAGATCCATTTATCAATAGATACATAATATAAAAACATAGGAATTGTGACATCAAAAACAAAATGAAGAGGCAAGTAAAAATGTAGAATTTGTTAATTGCATATAATTTAAACTCTAAATTTCAAATAGGTTCAAATAGATTGTTATAACTCAAATAGATTGTTACAATGCTAAGATGCTTTACATAAGCCTCCTTACGTAAGATGTTTTATGTATGCAAAAACCTACAGTAGGTACAAAAAAGATAAAGAGAAAGGAATCAAGGCATACCACTACAGAAAATCATCAAATCACAAAGAGAAGAAGAAAGAAAGGGACTACAAAACAGCCAGAAACAATGAACAAAATGTCAATAGTAAGTCTTTATCTTTCAATAATTACTTTAAATGTAATTGGATTAAATTATCCAATAAAAAGATATAGAGTGGCTGAATGAATAAAAAAGCAAGACCCAACTACATGCTGCCTATAAGAGACTTGCTTCAGCTTTAAGTACACACATAGGCTGAAAGCAATTGTATAGAAAAAGATATTTCATACAATTGGAAACCAAAAGAGAGCAGAGGTCACTGTATTTATATCAGAAAAAATACACTTTAAGTCATAAATTGTAACAACAGACAAAGGGCATCATTATATAATGATGAAAGGGTACATTGATCAAGAGGATATAATAACTATAAATATATGTGAAGTCAACATCAGAGTACCTAAATATACAAAGCAAATATTAATAGGTCTAAAGGAAGAAATAGCAATATAACAATAGCAGAGAACTTCAAGACCCCACTTTCAACAATGGATAACTTATCCACAGAAAAATCCATAAGGAAACATTGGACTTGAACTACACTTTATACCAAAAGGACCTAACAGACTATATGCAGAACATTCCATCCAAAAGTGGCAGAATGCACATTCTTCTCAAGCACACACAAAACTTTCTCTAGGATATGATGCCTATGCATTTCCCTTCTCTGCCCCATTTTCCCTGATGTTCACAATAGCAGTTAAGTTACTTATGTTGTTATTCACCAACCCTTGCTTTCATGTAAGCTCCCCAATTCCTGCATGTGTAAATTCCCATCCACCACAGTTCTGGCACCCAGTTCAGTGACCAGCTCATAGCAGGTGCTCAATAAGTATTTGTTGAATTAGGGGTTGCTCTTAAGGACCCCCCTAAGAGCAGAGATTGCCCTTGATATTTCACCAGAGTAATTTTGGAACTACTGAATAAAAAAGGAAAATTGCTTAGCCATGTTAGTATCTAGCTTTATAGTTCTATCTACTACAAGAGTCTCAAATGGAGGTGGGAGTATCACATGCCTGTCTGTAGTGCAGGAGAGGCTCTGTCCATAACTTATATCAGTTCACCATATAGTTATGTAAATGCTCTCTTCCAAGCCATGCTATGCACAAGGGAAGGATATGGTGATAAATAAGACACATTCCTTACTCTCAAGGATTTCAGTTACTATCAGACAATTACAATGTATTGTGATTTGCACTATGTCAAGAGAAGAGCCAGAATTTATGGAAACATGGAGCAGAGACCTTAACCCAGATCAGGGGATAGGCCAGGGAAGGCTTTCTGGAGGAAGTTGCATTTAACCTAGGACTAGAAGGATGAATGGGTATTAGCCAAGTGAAAAGGCAGGGGAAAGGCATTTCAGGCAGAAGGAACATGTTTGTGAGCCATTGTCAGGAACTTGGATCTTATCTTAAAGATGATGGGAAACCATTTAAAAGTTTCCAGCCAGAGAGCAATTTGATCTGATTTACATTTTTAAAGGATCTCTCTCTAACTTAGTGGTTCTCAACTGGGCATGATTTTTCTCCCCAGGAGACATTTTTGGATGCCACAACTTGGGGATGGGAGCTACTGGTGTCTAATGGGTACAGGCTAGTGATATTGTTAAACACCCTGCAATATACATGACAGGTCCCCACCACAAAGAATTATCTGGCCTCAAATGTCAATAGTTCTTAGGTTGAGAAATCCTGTAAGCTGATATATGTAAAATAGACCATTACAGATTTAAAGAAGGGTGACCAGTTGGGAGGATATTGTAGCAGGAAGAGCCGCAGACAAAACCCCTCAGATACTGAGTTAAAGAAGAAAGGGGTTTATTCGGCCGTGAGCGTCAGCAAGACTCCTGTCTCAAGAGCCAAGCTCCCCAAGTGAGCAATTCCTGTCCCTTTTAAGGGCTCACAACTCTAAGGGGGTCCACGTGAGAGAGTCATGATCAACTGAGCAAGCAGGGGGTACCTGACTGGGGGTCGCATACACCAGTAATTAGAACGGAACAGAATAGGACAGGGATCTTCACAGTGCTTTTTTATGCAAATAACCAATTAGGTCAGGGGTCGATCTTTAACTACCAGGGCCAGGGTGTAGCATTGGGCTGTCTGCTTGTGGATTTCATTTCTGCCTTTTAGTTTTTACTTCTTCTTTCTTTGGAGGCAGAAATTGGGCATAAGACAATATGAGGGGTGGTCTCCTCCCTTAATATTACATTAGTCCAGACAAATAATTATGAATTTGGATGGGGTGACTGCTGTGGAGGTGGTGAGAAATAATCTAATCCAGAATACATATTTAAAAAATAAAACCAATAGGATTTCTGGTCAATTGGGAAATGGAGCATGAGGGATAGAGAACAGTTAATGTTTTAGGTCTCAGTAATGCAAAGAATGGTGATGTATTTTACTGAGATGGGGAACATTTGTGGAGTGACAGGTGTATGGAATGGAGAGAAATCAAAAATTCAATTTCCAACATGTTAGGTTTGAGATGTCCATTAGACATACAAAAGGCAATATGGAACAGGCTCATGAGTCTGGAGGTGAGGGAGAAGATCCAGACTGGACTTCAGTATTTTAGGAATCATCAGCATACAGTATTTAAATCCATGGGACTGAATAAGATTACATGGGACTCTAGTGCAGAGGAGGGAGCCAAGCCCTGAGCCCTTGAACACTTAGAAGTCATAAAGAGCCATCAGAAGGGACTGAGAAGGAGCAGCCAGTGAGGTTACAAAAACACAGGAAAGTCTGGAGTTTTAGAAACCAAGTTAAAGGAGTGTATCAAAAACGATGCCATAAATACCTATCACCATTAAAGGAGTTACGTAATTCTTTCTATAAAGAGACTGAACTCAAATTCCAATGCCTTTTTATCAAAATGCATATGTATATGCTGGTATTTATGCCCTCTGTTATCATTTCCATAAGACAAGAGAAGAAGCATTAACCAACTGAAAACTTTAATTAAAATTCACATAGAATGAAGTTGGGAAGGGAACCTGGGCAGAGGCAAGAGCCTTTTGCTTATAAGCAAGATGTGATTAAACCCACTGTGATAGTGATTCATAGTTCCTGTTTATCAAGGAGACAGGCTCAGCCTCTAGCCTTATGTATGATCGCTGGATGTTTGGGGGTAGCTGAACCCAGAACTCATTTTAATGACATCTCCCTGGATTCAAAAATGTTTTTATTCTTCTCTAATGCTTTAACTTTGAGAGATGATCTGATCCTGAATGTTATCTTTGATGGCTCAAAGTACAATTCCCTAGAGTGAAATCAGATCGTACCTTTGGGTTCTCTTAATTTTCCAAGACTTTTACACCTCTGAATGAGGATTGCCCTGAAAAAAATATAGTGGACGCTCTAATCCTACATCAATCAAACTCCATCTCTCCTTCCACCCCTCCTCAGTTATTTGCATAAAATACTCAATTTGGTTGGAACACGGTACACACACAACCTCTTGACCATGCTTCAAACTAAGATAGATCCTGCAATGGACTTTCAGGGTGAACTTGAACAAATATTGGGATCATTAGAGAATGGTGCTCTCTTTGGCCTAAACCCTGGTTCTATCAGTAAAATATGTGGAAGAACAAATTAAGATCAGGGATGTATTGGGTTAGGCTGTAAGCCTCGAAGTTCAGGTCAATCTTCAATTGGGGTGGATGGGGAATGTGGTGATATGAAGTAAATGCATAATGTATTATCTTATCATAGTAATAATCACTACCTTGTTTATCCAGTACCTGAAAGCATTAATCTCATCTCATCTTCATAACAACCTTTTGAGTTAACAATTAAGGATACTCCATTTTTCTGGGGACGTGTCTGGCAACCCCGGTAAAAAAAAAAAAAAAAAAAAAAAAAGGGATACTCCATTTTTCCACATATGAAACAATTTGGAGCTCGGAAAGATTACATAAATTGGCCAAGACCACATAATTAGTAAATGGCACAACTGGAGTCAAACCCCAGTCAATGTGATTGCCAATTACTGTGTGATCCTTCCAAAGCAATACGATGGAAACAACCCTCAGCTTGATTTGCCAGTCAGGATTTGCCATCTAAAACTGGCTAGAACATTAATTTTGAGGGTGACTTTGGAAAAAGTCATTTAATCTCTCAGCCTCAGCCTGGTTTTCCTCACCTGTAAAATAATCAGGACGAACTTCCAGTACTTGTGTCTGATTCTAACTTGTTATATCAGAATTTTAAGCCCTTTCATTTGCAAAAAGTGTCCGTATTTTCAGAATACAGTCATCTATTATTGTATTTGATTCTTACAACAACTATGAGGCAAGCAAGCATTATTCCTTCTTGTGTTTTACATACAGATGGGGAAACAGGCTTGAAATGAAGTAGGTACCTTGTCCATGGTTAATGCAGCTGCTCCCCAGTCAACTGCTCTAATATACCAGGTACCTCGCCTCCTCCTTTATCTCAGGCATTTTTCACTCTCCCAGGGCCTACCCCATTTCTTATTCCCAGGAAGATTTCCGTTGCTAATTTAAAAGTTAACTGCTAAGAGGCTAAAGGAAGGGTATACATAGGGGCCCCTATCCCCACCAGGGTGCTAAACTGGGGCTGAGGGACAGGAGCAGGCCAGACCCAGCTCCCCAGGAACAGCGACTAAGAAACAGAGACACAGACCAAGAACCCATCCAGACAGGATGCAGAGAAAGGAAACTTTCTGTAGGACATTCCTATAGGTTGGGAAGTGCAAGGTTGTGGATGTCATTGTCCAGGGAAGTCTGGTAGCTGGTTCTCCATCAGTTATTCTGGGAAAACTCCTACTAAAATGTTTTCTCTTCTAGTGCTTCCCTCCTCAGAAAATGTCACCACTCTCTTCTGAGACACCCCAACCAGAAACCTGGGAGACAAGAGTAGGGAAAGGGTATCCTCGGGGTTAAAAGGTGAACTCTGGACACAGACTGTGTGTTAATGGAAATACACCTAACCTTGCCAAGCTTCAGTTTCCCCATTCATAAAATAGCGCTAAATATGACTTCCCTCATAGTGTGAGATGAGGAATAAATATAAACATCTTGTAGAATTCCTGGAACAAAATAGTCACTTAAATATGGAGCCCTCAAAAAACTAGTGAGCTCTATTCCTCACCCCCTGCATCCAATCAATCTTCAAATAGAAATTCTACCTCCTGATTCCATTTGGGTTTGTTCATTTTTCCTCCACCCTTGCTGCCATGATGTAATCCAGGTAATCATCTCTGATCTGGGCTCCTATAATGTTGCGTGTTCATCTCCATACCTTCTTTTTTTTTTTTTTTTTTGGAGAAGGCATTTCGCTCTTGTTGCCCAGGCTGAAATGCAATGGTGCGATCTCGGCTCACCGCAACCTCCGCCTCCCAGGTTCAAGTGATTTTCCTGCCTCAGCCTACCAAGTAGCTGGGATTACAGGCATGCACCACCACGTCCGGCTAATTTTGTATTTTTAGTAGAGACGGGGTTTTACCGTGTTAGCCAGGATGGTCTCGAACTCCCGACCTCAGGTGATCCACCCACCTCGGCCTCCCAAAGTGCTGGGATTACAGGTGTGAGCCACCACACCTGGCCCATACCTTCATTCTTGTTTCCACCTTACCCTAATTCATTCTCCATTCTGCAAGGCAGGGATTTCTCCAAAAAAAAAAAAAAATGTGAATGGGCTCTATTCTCCATCCCTTACCACCTTGCTGCTGCAAACTCCTTCTAGCACCCAGGGCCCTGCTTGGCTTCATTCCTCACTGCCCTGCACCTTTCCACCAAGGATCTCATTGTATCACCTCTGCCATTCTTCCACTGGGGGAACCATTTATCTCTTTCACTCTCACTCCTAAGGTCTTTGGTTTTTGTTATTTTCTCTGCCTGTAACAACCTTTGCCAGCATCCAAACTTTCTGTGGCGAACTCATTCTTCAGGTCTCAGCTTAGAAAGTCCCTCATCTGGTAAGCCTGGAAAGTGTCACTAGCACAAGGCCTGGCACATAGAAGCCTCCTGATAAATATCTGTTGAATAAATGTCAATGACAGCATCAAAGCTGACTCAATGTTGACTGAGGACAGGCTAGGCTCCCATCTGCGCCAGGGTTCAGCTTTTAGGTTATAGACAGGATTCAGAGCTGTGAGATATAAAATAATACAGGCTTTTTCATAACATTCCCACTGGGTCAAGAGCATACTCACAGTAAATTACAAGTGGTCCACTCAGCCCCTGAAGACCAGGCAAATACCTGAGACATGTCCTTCCCCTTTAATCTTTTCTCAACTTCATCCTCCTTCCCACAGGCTTTCCTTTCTCACTTAAACCCAATCAGTAAGACACATGACATCTCTCATGGGAAGAAGATTTATGATATCTCTGGAAAATTCTTTTTTAATCTGCCATAGCTTTAAAAACTTGAGTTTTCATGGCTGCTAATTAGAACTGTCAGTATAAGTCACTGAAAAAAGTGCAATCTCTTGGAAAACAAAAAGAAAGTAAGAAAGTACTCTAGCCATTTCCATTATGATTTATGAGACGTGTTGTTGATGATCTTATTAATATCTTTTTAAAATATATGCTGATTGCTAATGTTCTCTATAATAAACTGGCAAAGCACATGCAAATCCCTATTGATACACTAGTTTTGGGAACACATGGGTGGATATAAGCAAAGAACAAATGTTTGGCATCTAAAGTGAATTTTGTTTTCAATTTTGTGTTCCGCCCAAGGAACATTTGTTGACTGACTAATGTATTAGGGATTGCAAAGGATTCAAAGTTGAAGATCTCACCCCTACCCTCCAGCTGCTTACAATCTAGTACAGGCGGAGAGGAGAACAGCTTCAACAACAGGTAGCACATATAAACCAGGTAGGCAGAGTGAGATAAGGGAGACAGGTGTGGAGGGCTAGATGGAGAACTGGGCACAGCAGCAGACTGCATGCATGAGGTCAGAACTGAGCTGAGCCTGTCCTCTGCTGCACTCTCAGCACAGTGTCAGGCACATAGTAGCCTTTCATAGTCACAGCAGGGACGAAGGAAGGATAGAAGGACAGTTGAGTCCAAGTTCTAATCCTGTCACTTAGAGGAATGTGGCCAACCACTATCTTTTCTGACTCAAGCTCTTCATCTGTAAAATGGCAACTGGGGGAAAATACTTCTTCCTAGGGAGTTGCTGTGGGAGAGGAACTTGTGGTTGTCATGAAAGTTGTCCACCAGATATATCCAGCTCTCTTCCTTTTATGCACAAGGCAAAATTGCTGGTCCATTTCCATACTGATGCTAGTTGCAGACATTGTATTTCATCTGGCCAGTGAACTATGAACAGAAGTGATGTGTGTCACTACTGAGAAGAAGCTTTAAGAGCCAGTATGTATGTCACTGGGGATGTTCCAGATGGCAGTTTCTCTGTCATTCTTAGCCCCAGGAAAGTGTGGTAGGACAAGAACCTCCAACCAGCCTGCCATAGATACGTAACCTGAGCAAGAAATACATCTGAAAAGACAACAAGTCTTGGCAGGGATGTGAAGAAATTGGCTTTTTTTTTTTTTTTTTTTTTTTTTGAGATGATGGAGTCTCACTCTGTCGCCCAGGCTGGAGTGCAGTGGCACAATCTCTTCTCACTGCAAGCTCTGCCTCCTAGGTTCACGCCATTCTCCTGCCTCAGCCTCCCGAGTAGCTGGGACTACAGGCACCTGCCACCACTCCTGGCTAATTTTTTGTATTTTTAGTAGAGATGGTTTCACCGTGTTAGCCAGGATGGACTCGATCTCCTGACCTAGTGATCCGCCCACCTCGGCCTCCCAAAGTGCTGGGATTACAGGCGTGAGCCACCGCTCCCGGCCAGAAATTAGAATTCTTATACACTGTGAGTGAGAATGAAAAATGGTTCAGCCACTATGGAAAACAATATGGAGGTTCCTTAGAAAATTAAAAATAAAACTACCATATTATCCAGCAATCCCACTTCTAGGGGTACTTATACAATATAATTGAAATCAGCATTTTGAATATATATTAGCACTCTCATATTTATTACAGCCCTATTCACAGTTGCCAAAATATGGAAATAACCTAAATGTACATTGACAGATGAATAGATAAAGAAAATGTGGTGTACACATACAGTGGAATATTTTTCAGGCTTAAAAAAGGAAATTCTCTAATATACAACAACATGGATGAACCTTGAGGACATTATGCTAAGTGAAATAAGCCAGTCACAGAAGGACAAATACCGCATGGTTCCACTTATATGAGATATCTACAATAGTCAAATGCATAGAATTAAAGAGTGGAATGGTGGTTGCCAGGGACTGAGGCAGGGGGAAATGAGGAGTTACTAATCAGCAGGCATAAAATTTCAGTTAAGCAAGATGAGTAAGCTCTAGAGAGCTGATGCATAGCATTGTACCTATAGTCAACAATACTGTGCACTGAAAACATTTTGTAAGAGGATAAATCTCATGTTAAGCATTCTTAACGTATAAAACTAAAGCTTTTTTTAAAAAAAAAAAAAAAAGAAAAAGAGGAAATATGCCTAGTGTGTTAAGCCAAGATCTGGGGATTTGCAGGCTGTTTGTTATCACTGCATAGCATATCACAGCATACAGAATTTAACAGAGAAACCCCTTTATACAACCTAAAGTTTAAGTAAATATAATAGCTAGGAAAGATACGAAAAAAAATATGTTGCTTTAGAAGAGATTGCACCTGGCTGAGGGGGTCCAGAAAAACTTCTTGAAGAAGTTGTCATTGGAGATGGATTTTGAAGTGAGGAAGAATGTCTAAAGGCACATATGGGGAAGCAAGATAAGAAGAAGGTAGGAGTGTGCAGGAAGGAAAGTACTCAGAATGGACAGGGCGGTGGATGACTAACAATAGTCACGAGAAGTAGCATAGGTTACCACTCACTCTGTCAGTCGCTGTCCTGTGTGACTTACCTGTACTTATTCTTATTCATTTTCCATCACTGCCATAACAGAACTTAAATCTTACAGCGGCTTAAAACAAAACAAATATATTATCTTACAGTTCTGTAGCTCAAAAGTCCAGTATGGGCTTTGCAGGGCTAAAATAAAGGTGTGAGCAGGGTGATATTTGTTTCTGGGACCTCTGGGGAGAATATGGTGTTTTGCTCATTCAGGTTGTTGGCAAAATCCACTTCCTGTGTTTGTGAGACTAAGATCTTGGTTTCTTTCATGGTTCTCAGCTAAGGGCTCTTTCCTGCTCCTAGAGGATACCCTTAGTCTTCGACTTGTGGCCCCCTTTTGCTCTTCTCCAAGCCAGCAATGGAAGATCAACCTTCTCTCATGCTTTATATCTTTCCTATGTCTTCTTCTGTCTTACTCCTTGAGCAACTCTTCTGCCTTCCTCTTTCAATCTTAAGGTCCAACATGATTGCATTGAGTCCACCTGGAAAATCTTCCTATTTTAAGATCCCTAACCTTAATTCTGTCTGAATGGTCTCTTTGCCTTGTAATGTCACATATTCTCAAGTTCTAGGGATTAGAGCATAGATGTTTTTGGGGGGCAAATTTTCTGCCTATCACACCTTACTTTGTGGGTGAGGAAATTGAAGCTTAGTGTGCTTAGGTAACTTGTCCAAGGACACCACCCAGTTCTTGGCAGAATGGCTTTTGATCCCAAGCAGCCTGAAAGTGAGCCTTTATTCTTAACTGCCTCTTCACCCAGAAAATAGAGAGGAGAAAAGTGGAGACCGAGGCTAAAATGATAGATTAGGAATTTATTGCAGACATCGTCAAATGGCAGACACAAAAAAATGGCTTAAGGGAGTATTGTATAATGATTGTCAGTCACCATACATTAGTTTTCCATTGCTGTGTAATGAATAACCACAAACTTAGTAGCTTCGACAACACCCATATATTACCTCATGGTTCTATAGGTCAGAAGTCCAGTAGGCTGTGACTTGATTCTCTGCTCAGGTTCTCATAAGACTGGAATCAAGATGTCAGCCTGCTGAGCTCTCCTCTGGAGCTTGGGGGTTCTCTTCCAAACTCCTTTCTTTTATTAGCAAAATTCAGTTTCTTGTAGATATAAGACTGAAATCCCCATTTTCTTGCTGGCTGCCACTGGGGACCACTCTCAGTTTCTTGAGGCCATCTCAGATACTTGCCCATGGCCCCTCCAACTCAGTGATAGGACCCTCCCTCAAATTAAATCCCTCCCACTTCAAATCTCTCTGTCTTCCTCTTCTTCCTCCAGATGGAGAAAATTCTTCTTTTAAAAGACTCATGTCATAGATTAGGTACGCCCAGATAATGTTCCTGTCTTAAGTTCAACTGATTAATAAACGTAATTACATGGGCAAAAGCAAAATCCCTTTTGCAATTGAACATAACATAATCATAGCAGTAACACCAGGGGGCAGAGGTCATGGGGCGATCTTAGAATTCTGCCTACTGCACATCCTATGCATAACGGGGTGGATAATCTCATGCTCATTGGACATATGTGGAGCACAGAGGTTAAGGTCCAATGGCAGAGCTGGACACAGGGCCCAGGTCCTAGTGATGAACATAATATCATGTCCCAGCTAGGAAGGGCTGCTTCTCCTCTTTGAGAACTGGGGAAGAACAATTCCCATTTCCTGAGGGTGAGGATGAAGTTGAAGGTTCCTTGGTGCCTCTTTCAACTCAGAGCAGGCCCAGAGCCGGCTGTGTCTCCAATTATCTCCTTGTTAGAGGGAGGGCATTCTGAGTGAGGACCCCTGAGAAAAAGGGGGAGAGATACAAAGTTGGCATTTCTTATCGATAATAATTCAGGCAAATTTATGGCAACAGTTCACCAAGAGTGGAAACCTGTCTAGATCTGTGAGAACATTAGTCTTTTATAATACTTTAAAGAAAAAAGTTTGTTATTTTAACTTTGTGCAATAATTTGCTCTATAACAAATGCTTTCCTGAGTAAAGATTCTGAGGAAACATGATTTAATGACCCTGTAAGAATTATGGATGTATTTCGATTCCACTTTCCCAAAAATGGGTGCTCCTCAAGTGTTTGAAATCAGTTTATTCACTCAGAATAAATGATCCCTTGTGCAATCATGTTTTTGCTATTTATTAGCTTAAGAAGTATTTTCCCTACAGAGGAAAGCGTTACAAATTTCCTACTTATGGAGTTTCACATTCACTCAACAAATATTGAGACTGTACAGTTATTAGGTTCTAGAGAATTATGAAGAAATATAAAATCCTTTAATGATTTAATAATTTAGTGCAGTGCTAACAATGAATAGGAGGAAAGCAAGGAGAGCTACCAACAGGAAAAGTAGAGTGAGAGTTTCACATTCACTCAACAAATATTGAGACTGTACAGTTATTAGGTTCTAGAGAATTATGAAGAAATATAAAATCCTTTAATGATTTAATAATTTAGTGTAGTGCTAACAATGAATAGGAGGAAAGCAAGGAGTGCTACCAACAGGAAAAGTAGAGGAGTTCAGAGAAATGAGAGGTGAGCGTAGGAAGCAGCAGTCAGGCAGGCTTCTTGGAGGAGGTGGCACTTGGAGCTGGACTTTAAATCATTCAATCCAGAGTCCATACCCTAGCTTCGGAGGCAATACTTGACTTAGTCCTTCCTTCACTCTCCAGACTCATCCTGTGCTGCCAATCATCTTGAACACATGAAGGCTTTTCCTGCTTCAGAACCTTTGCTCTTCCTGTTTCCACTGTCTAGAGTGTGTTCCTCTAGATTTTTCTCACGTCTAGATTATTCTCAACCTTCGGCTCTCCGCTTAAATATCACTCCTTCAGAGAGGCTTTCATTCACTGTCATGTTTATGTTCGTCCCTTCCTTCTCTCTTCCTGACTGTATGCCTCCCATCAAGTTAGAAATTACAAAAAAAAAAAATAGACTGGGCATGGTGGCTGACACCTATAATCCCAGCACTTTGGGAGGCCAAGGTGAGTGGGTCACCTGAGGTCAGGAGTTTGAGACCAGCCTGGCCAGTGTGGTGAAACCCCATCTCTACTAAAGATACAAAAAATTAGCTGGGTGTGGTTGTGCATGCCTGTAATCTTAGCTACTAGGGAGGCTGAGGCAGGAGAATTGCTTGAACCCAGGAGGCAGAGGTTACAGTGAGCCGAGTTCACGCCACTGCACTCCAGCCTGGGCAACAAAAGCAAAACTCTGTCTCAAAAAAAAAAAAAAAAAAAAAAAGAAAAGAAAAAGAAATTATAGGTATTCACTCACTTAGGAAATTAAGAAATCAAAGTAAAAAGGTAAGGAAAAAAAAATAAAGCCCATAATGCAGGCATCTTACATTTATAGATGTTATAGATGACTCATAGAAGAACATCTTAAACATCTTGGTTTACATACTTCCAGACACTTATCTCTGCCAAGGTTGAGTTTTTAAATGGGGTCATATAGTGTATTCTGTTTTACAATCTGATTTTTTTCACTTCACCTCTTATGGTCCATTTTTCCCATGTCATCTTTCACTTCTGAGAGTGGTAACTGCTTCTACCAGGTATCTACACTTGTCCAGATAAGCACATTGTGCTTGTCCTCACGACAGCCCTTTTAGGTTGTTCCTGTTCTTATCCCCATTTTCTAGGTATCCCCATTTCACAGCTAGGTGAAACCGAGGCTCAGAGATGTGAAATGACTTGCCCAAAATCACACAAGTTAACAAATGGCAGGGGGCAGGGGTAGGAAGTCTGTGGGGCTGCTGAACTTCCACTTAATAATTCTCTTTACTGCCTCGGAAAGAGCTGAGTGTCCCTTTGAAGAATTGGCTGGGGAGTTTCTGAGTAAAGAGAGGAAGAGAGACTGTTTCCTGCCTCCGACTGCTGTTCTGCTAGCTCAGTTGGGGATATGTGGGAGGGAGGGACTGAGTGTGCAGGGAACTGAGTAGGGTGAAAAAATACCTGGCAAATGGGGATTTTCAATGGGTTATTTTAAGTAAAATCGCTCCTTTTAATATGTGCCTTGTGCTGGAGTTAACAAACGTTAATTAAAGCAGAAGTGCATATTGTTATTTTATCTCCCATTTGCTTATGGGTCGGGGTATATTTTTAAAAAGCCCACAACATCCCACATTTAAATATGTTCCCAGTCCTAAGAACTTCAAATGCCAGAGATATGTTTGGCCACAGATGACAATGCAGGCCCACACCTGGCCCACTGAGGCAGAGACCCAGGCCCTTGGAGCCCATCTCACCTCTGAAAATGAGCTGATGGATCAGCAGATAGTAAGAGCTCTGGGGGTGGGGGCCTCTGGATGCAGAGAAACCATATGTTTTGGTATTATGGGCCGTCCGGCAGGCAGCTATAAAAAGAGAATAGCTTCTTCTAAGAACTTAAGCCCAAAAATACACAGAAGGAAATGGGAGGAAGTCCCATTTATAACAAGAGTGTGTTGCCAAATATTCTTTTGTGTCTAGGAACTGTGGTAAGTGGTGCTTGAGACCTGAGAAGGTAAATCTCGAGAAAGGAGGGTGGTGACCCTGGTCTAAGCTGGACCCCTTCTCAGCACAGTGAAAAATCACATGAGTGGAATCAGATGGATCTGGGCTCACATTTCAACCCCCTCACTTGTTCTGTGACCTTAAATAAATTATTTATTCACTCTGAATCTGTTTCCTCTTTTAACAAAAGGGGATGTGTTAGTTTGTTTTGCATCACTATAAAGGAACAACTGAGGCTAGGTAATTCCTAAAGAAAAGAGGTTTATTTGGCTCACAGTTCTGTGGGCTATACAAGCATGGCACCAGCATCTGCACAGCTCTTCTGGTGAGGCCTCAGGAAGCTTTTACTCATGGCAGAAGGCAAAGAGGAGCAGCGTGTCACATGGTAAGAGAGGGGGCAAGAGGGAGGAGGAAGTGCCAAGCTCGTTTAAACAACCAGCAGTTGCATGAACTGATGGAGCAAGAACTCACTCATTACCATAGGGAGGGCACCAAGTCATTCAAAGGGATTTGCCCCCATGACAAACACTTCCCACCAGGCCCCACCTCCAACATTGACAATCACCTTTCAACATGAGATTTGGATGAGACGAACATCCAAACTCTCTCAGGGGATACACCCACCTGGCCCAAAGAAAGAGATGGGAATTAGATAAATGTCAAGTGTCTTCCATAGCATCCAGCTCAGAGTTGGTTCTCAGAGAACAGTGGCTATGATGGTGAATATGTTTGGGGCAAAGTGAAATTGTTGCTTGTTCACATTCTTGTCCAAGCTTCCACACCATAGTACAGGCTGTTCCTGCTCCAAGAAATGCCTTTCTTTCTGTTTCAGAAAGCTCAAAGCCAGCCTGCCCTGCAGAGCCCAGTTACGTGACATCTCTTTCCATGAAACCTTTCCAAAGTTTTCCCAGTGGGGTGTAGCCTTTCCCACCTCTGCATGTCCTTAGCACTTAATCAGTGACCATCCATGCTGTTCACTGCAGCACAACTATCAGTTGTTTCTGTGTGGGTCACATCTCTTCTATTAAATTGATTTTCTCTTAAGTATTTCCCATCACGCTTGGTGTGTAGTCAGTCCTCAGTAAACATTTGTGTAATCATTCATTTATTCAGTGTATGTTCACTGAGCACCTATTGTGTGCCAGGCACTGTGCTAGTGCTGAGGGTGTAGCAGTGAATGACATTGATAAGACCCCCGCCCTCGCTGAAGTTACACATTAGTGGAGGGAGATAGATAGATAATAAATGAATAAACAAGTCAGTTGGTACATATGTAATTATATAAAGATCACATATACTTTGATAAGTGCTATGAAAGAAATGAAAAAAATAAGAGAAAAGATGGGTGATGGAGGTAATGATACTTAGAGTGGTGCATATGAAGAGGTGACATTTGAATTGAAACCTGAAGGGTAGTAGGAGGCAGGTTTGGGACAATTTCAGGGAAGTGAGTTCCAGGTAAGGGGATCAACAAAAATTGCAAAGGTCTTGAGGTGGGAAAGACTTCGGTGTTTTCTAGAAACAAGAAGATCAAAGTGGCTGGAACATAGCATGGAGGAAAAGACAGTACAAGAGGAGACAAGACGCGGGCTGGCTCAGGGAGTGCCTTGGTAGAATATTTGGATTTTATCTTCTAAGTGGGACAGATTTTAAGTGGGGTGGGAACAACATGGTCCTACTTATAGTTTAAAAAGATCTCTCTGGCTCTTGTGTGAACATGGATTGTATAAGAACAAGAGAAGAGGCAAGGAAATGTTATGCTAGGATCTACTATCTGGAATGCTGCCTATGAAGATGAGGGGATGATTGGACTGGATGGGCTGGATGTGTGGGTGAGGGAAAGAGACAAGTCAGAAATGACTCCCTGGTGTTAGGCTCAAATAGCAGGGTGGACAGTGGTGCCATTTCCTGAGATGAGGAAAATGGAGAAGAATGAGTCTTCTATTTATTTGCACATTTTTTGTGAGGGTTCATTGAGAATTTTGAATTGGATACTTCAGGTCTAAGGTACCAAGTAGGCAGTTAAATATATACATTTAAAAAACAGGATAGGGGATAGAGATCTAAATTGGGGAGTTTTCAGCCTCTGTGTATACAGGCCATGTGTCCGGAGGAGATCATGAGAGCAAGACTGTAGACAGGGATAAGAAGAGGGCTGAGGCTTGAGCTTTGGGCACAGCAATAGCTCAAGATTAAGCAGAAAGAAGAAACCAGCAACGGAGACAACCAGCAAAGATAAGCCAACCTGTGAGGCAGGAGGAGACCCAGGAGAGAGTGGGGCCTAGGAGCAAAGAGAAGTGTTTTCAGAAGAAATCATTGTCATCATCATCATTATGAGTAACATCTTTAGCTCTGCCGTGTCTGTGCTAAGTGTGAGATGTGACTTACTAACTTCACAAGTCATGAGATGGGATTCATTATCTCCCTTTTTCAGGTATGAAAACTGAGGCTTAGAGAGAGTCCTATTCCATTTGTGTTGCTATAAAGGCTTACCCCTGGCTGGGTAATTTATAAAGAAAAGAAGTTTATTTAGCTCACGTTTCTGTAGGCTGTACAAGAAGCATGGTGCCAGCATCTGCTTCTGATGAGGGCCTCAGGCTGCTCCCACTCACGGAGGAAGGCAAGGGGGAGCTGGCATGTGCAGATCACATGGAGAGAGAGGGAGAAAGAGAGAGGAAGATGCCAGGCTCTTTTTAACAGTCAGATCTTGTGGGAACTAATAGAGCAAGAAATCACTCATTACCAGGAAGAGGGCATCAGACCCTTCATGAGGGATCCACCCCCATGACCCAAACACCTTCCACCAGGCCCCACCTCCAACACTGGGGATCAAATTTGAACATGAGATTTGGAGGGACAAACATCCAAACTATATCAGAGAGTGAACCAAAGAATGAATGAATGAATAAATGAATGAATCTACACCCATTTTTTTGCAAACTGCCCACACTACACTCCCATAGCCTACCTAACTGGAAAAAAAAAATAGGAACAAAGGACGATTCTCTTTGAAATATAGCCCTGCAAGTGCTAGAATAGTACACCAGCTTACAGAGTACTGGGCTTTCCTTAGAGCTTGTTGTCTAACCTCCAGCCTTCCAACCCTGAGACTCACCCCCAGAGTCCAGGGCCCTCCCCCATCTGGAGTGCTGGAACACAGTGACCGGCAGCTGGGGCAATTAAAATGAATCACTCCAGCTCTGCCAGGGAAGAGCTGAGTGATTTGCAGCTGGTGACAAATGGGATGATTTGCCACTCAGACGCAGCATCTTGGATGAAGTGGCCTCATCAGTGGAATTGTTGCATTTGGCCAGCACTAATTACCCTGGTCTAGGAACCTCGATGCCCAGTATCAAGTGAGCCTCTCTCTGAACACAGCTCAGCTCAGTAATTAGTCAAGATGGACTTTTTTCTCCCAGTAATTTAGAGACAGGCCATCTGAGCCTGTGCCTTTATGCCCGTTTTCATTCCTTTTTATAAATAGCCATTTGAAGAAGAGGACAAAGGGAAATAGGTTGCACTCAGTGACCTCTTGAGCTCAGTTGAATGAAGGCACACAGGAGGTGTCCCTTCTGTCCCCTTCCTCTTGGGGATGACACGACGTGTTTTTGAAATAAAGAAGAATGTCCATATCCAACTCCTTGTCAGAGATGTCCTAGAGGGGAGGCTGCTGGGATCAAGAGTTGATTGCTGCTTAATAACTTTCCACTCCCTACACAGGCCCCAAGTGTCTGCTTTCCTGAAGGCCCCCTGCCTTAGTGTCTGCTCCCCCTGCCCCTATACCCAGGTTGCTGCTCCTCACACTGTGTGCATACCTCCATCCTGAAGGGCAGAGAGTAACTCTGCCAGCCACTTTGCTACCTGCTTTATTAGTATTTTTCTTTTTAATTCTTAAGAATACCTGTAAGATGAGTACAACCATTACTCCATTTTGTAAAGAACTAAGCACAGGCCGGGCATGGTGGCTTATGCCTGTAATCCCAGCACTTTGAGAGGCTGAGGCAGCCGGATCACGAGGTCAGGAGATCGAGACCATCCTGGCCAAAGATGATGAAACCCCGTCTCTACTAAAAGTACAAAAAAAATTAGCTAGGCGTGGTGGCGCATACCTGTAATCCCAGCTACTTGGGAGGCTGAGGCAGGAGAATTGCTTGAGCCTGGGAGGCAGAGGTTGCAGTGAGCCGAGATCACGCCACTGCACTCCAGCCTGGACAACAAGAGCGAGACTCTGTCAAAAAAAAGAGAAGGAGAAGTAAGCACAAAGAGATGTAGCGATTTGCCCAAAGTCATACAACCAATAAGAAACAAGGCAGGATGCCCTTCAGCTTCATCTGAACCCTGAGCCCATTCTCTTGACAAACAATGACAGTGCCCTCTGCTTTCTCTCTAAGGATCACACAATAATAATTTTCAAACAAATAATGGCAATAGGTTTTCTGGGTGTTTGTGCAGAAGAACTAATAACTGGATAGATGGTTTTTAAAATATGTCAACTACTGTTGCATATTAGCTTAGATCAAAGGTCTCTGATATTCGCAGTAGAGATTGAGAGCAGGAGTCAGCAAACTATGGCCCCCAGGCCAAATCCAGCCTGCCGCCTGTTTTGGCATTCAAGTGTTACTGGAACACAGCCATGCACTTGCGCTTACATATTGTCTATGGCTACTTTTCACTCTGCAACAGCAAAGATGAGTAGTGCAACAAAGACCATAAGACCCACAAGCCTGAAATATTCACTACCTGGACTTTGACAGAAAAAGTTTGCTGGCCTCTGTTTAAAAGCAACAAATCTAAACTGTGACATTAGAAGCACACATTTAAAGGCCTGCAATGAATCCTAATCAATAACCAGAACAAGAAATGCCTATCGGAAACCCAGAGAATGGTCCCATCAGATCCTTACTATCTTCCGTTAGCATCAAGTTATGCCCTAAACGATACATACACTATTTTGTTAACAAAAGGAAAAAAGATCCTTTGCAAAAAGAGACAGCCTGCTTCCAGCACCTTACTCCCAGACCATGTCCGAATTCATTTACCCAGAAGGCGTGAACTGTCCATTGAGCATCTTTCCTCTCCCACAGCCCCTGCTCCTGTGGATCACTTAATGCTATCACTTGGATCTCGGCAGTCAGCCCGCCCCTTCCCATTTCTGTGGGCTCTGCAGTACTTTTCACCCATCATCATCATTGTTAATCAATAAATACCATAAACAATCATGATAGTAACACCTTAAATCAATACAGCCGAGTGATTATATTGTAATGGAAGAATGATAGTGGTTTAATGGGAATACAGAAGGGGTGGCTCAGAACTATGCTGGCAAAAGTTGGGGAAGTTTACAGAGGAGGTGAAATCTTACTCACCTCTTCTATTTTATATCTATCTCCTGGCGTTCTCCCACCCCTGCACCTGTCTGCTTGGTGATCTCCCACTCCTACTTCAAAATCTAGCACAATATCTCCTCTTCTGGTAAATTTTCCTGACCTCTGCTAGCAGAGTAATTAGCAAGCCCTTCTGTGTTCCTTCCATGCTACTTTCTTACTTGTCATGTAACTAAGATAGTAGAATAATTATTGTCTATGATATTTACACAAGATGATGATGATGGCTTAACAGAGTGTTAAATATACTGTGAGCTAACAGTACTGTGCTGAGCACTTTGCAGGAAATCCATGGTGTCTAACATTAAATTATATGTTTTTTAATCAGTAGGCTCCACTGCCTTCCTATCTTCTCTATCAGACTGTGAGCCCATGGAAGGGAGAGACCATGGCATATTCACTTTTATCTCCTCAGTGACCAGCAGTGTCTGCCATATAGGAAATGCTTGCAAAGTAAATGAATAAATAGTATGGTACTCACAATCCTAGAGATTCCTGTCTCCTGGTTCTTCAACCAAACACTAATCTATGTAATGCTATGAAGAGATTTTATAGAGGCAATTAAAATCTCAATCAGTTCAGTTTAAGACACAGAGATTATCTAGGTGGGTCTGGCCCAATCAGGTGAACTCTTAATAAGCAAGAAGTCATCTCCAGCTAGTGGAGGTTAGAGAGATTCAAAAAATGAGAAGGATTTGACACCCTATTGTGGGCTTAAAGATGGAGGAAGTCAAGTGATGAGAAATGCAGCAACCTCTAGAAGATGACAGCCAGCAAGGAAACAGTGACCTCAATCCTATAACCACAAGGAGATGAATTCTGCCAACAACCAGTGAGCTTGGAAGTGATAAGAACCACAGCTCCAGCTAATGCCTTGGCTTCAGCCTAGTGAGACCCTGAGCAGAGAATCTAGCCACCCTAAGACAGACCTCTAATCTACAGAACTGTGAGATAATACATGAATGTTGTTATAAGCTGCTGTGTTTGTGTCATTGTGTTATGCAACAATGGAATACAAATACAAGCAGGAACACAATACAACAATGGAATAAAAATCCAATTATATCAGATATTGGTGGTCAGACTGCTGACCAAAGGTTCCGCTGGGCTTTGAAGAAGTCAGTGCTGCTGAGATCCAACATCACAGGAGTCATGAGTTAAAGAAGTCCATGTCCACCCATAAATGAATCAGAATTAGGTGAGGGAGGTAGTGTCCTGCAGTAGCTAAAGTGCTGGATAAGAAATATGAAATCCCAGTTTCTAGTCCCAGCTCTGTCATTGCCTTACTGTGTGACTCTGGGCTCGTCATCTTAGGTCTCCGAATTATAGTTCTCTTATCTCCAAGATCAGAATATTCCTATTTCTCCCATCCATTTTACAGGGCTGTAAATAAGGTTGAAGTAAGATAATAGATTCAACAAGCCACATAAGTTATAGCCAATTCTGCAGGAAAAAAAAAAAAAATCCTCAAATACCCAGGGGGGTTTGGGAAAAGCCATGCCAAGTTGCAAGGCTAATAAAATTCAGGTGACTAGGCAGACAGACCTCCAAGGGCTTCAGATCACAGCTGTTTCTTCCCTGCCAAGAAAAGTGCTGCTTTGCCCTGTGGCTCCCTGGGAGGATAATCATCATCATAAAAAGTAATGCTTTGTGTTTCAACAGAAATTTCCAAGTGCTTTCCCCTGTACCAGTTTAATTCCAGCAGCTTGTATCAGTTAAAGGAAAGAAATGGACTGAGTCGTTCTAGTTTTGAAAGTGTTGGTTTCTCACAGTGAAGGAGGGTAAGTCTCACCTATTATACAGAGCAGGAAGACAGAGGCCCAGCTAGGCAGGTGACTCACCAAGTTGTGGAGATGGTCAGTGAAAGAGAAAAGGCTCTCATTCCCAGCCCTGGCCTCTAATAATTCCAGCTCCCTGCGTTTAGTATGGAGCTGGGAAAATGTAACTTTCCTGGATAGAGGCCCAGCTTCACCTGAGCCAGTTCCAAATTGAAGGTAGGGAGGATTGCCTTGCCCTCAAGTTCTTATCTTGTGAATCACATGCAAATGAAGCATTGGGATTAAGTCAGACTTTGAACTTCTTCCCCTAGCTCTCCAGTTATTCCAAAAATGACAGTTGCTGGCTGTTAAGCAGCAAACTCTTTCTTTGGTATCGTCATTCAGTAGGCGGGGATGTAGGGACTATCGTTCAAGGTAGGCTGCTATAAACAACAACAACAACAACAACAAAAAGAAAAATGTCAATTAAAAGAGAACAGGGAAGAAGGAGTCTTAGGTGTGTGGAACTTTTGTGGGAAGGCTTTGGGCTTCACTAGATGATCCTGAACTTGGGATAGCTTCGCTGGGTTCTTCAATTTAGGGATGTTAGAAAAGGAGGCAGCCATCCTGAATACTTGGTTTGATGCCATGACTCCAGACACTTTGGACCATAAGCAGTTTTGGATTCTCCTCAGCCTGACAATTCTTCCCACGGTCCAAAATCCAATGTGCATGGAGATGCCAGGTTATAAGACAGACTATTTATGCATTCATTTACTAATGAGGGCCTGCTCCATGCTGAGCACTGGAGATACAATGCTACACCAAAGAACTAAAAGATTCCTTTGCTTTCATGGAGCTTATGGTGTAAGGGAAAAAAGACAATAGAAGAGGCAAACAGATGCCATAGTTCTGCTGCTATGAGAGCTACATGAGGCTCTGAGTCTTACGGCTGAATACTAAAAATGTAATGATTAGGATGAGGTCTGAAGGATGAATAGGGGCTGATGCATTGATCAGGGGAAAGAGAAGCATGTGATAAGGATGGGAGTCTTTTGAATATGAGGGGCCAAACAAAGAGCAGTATGACCAGAGTACAGCAAGTATGTTGCTGGGTGACAATGGAGAGTGAGCCAGGGGCCAGATCACACAAGGCCTCGAGGCTCATCAGAGTTTGAATTTATTCCAAGTGTTAAGAGAAAAGCTTTGGTGAGTTTTAAGCAGAAAAGCAACATGGTGCAATTAATATGTTTCAAAAGATCACTCTGGCTACCTTGTACAGGTGGCCTTGTACAGCTGGGCAGTAGGGGCATAGAGGACTGGATGGAGGCAAGAAGTCCAGTTCACTCTCAAGTGACATCAACAAGATGGCAGAGCCAGGCACAGTGGCACACCCCTGTACTCCTAGCTACTTCGAAGGCTGAGGCAGGGGGATTACTTGAGCACAGGAGTTCTGGGCTGTAGTGTGTTATGACAATCAGGTGTCCACACTAAATTTGGAATCAATATAGTGACGTCCCAGGAGCAGGGGACCACGAGGTTGCCTAAGGAGGGGTGAACTGGCCCAGATTGGAGTTGGAGCAGGTCAAAACTCTGATGCTGATCAGTCATGGGATCGCGCCTGTAAATAGCAACTGCACTGCAGCCTGGGCAACATAGCGAGATACTGTCTCTAAAAAATAATACATAAAACAAGATGGCAGAATAGGAGATAACCTGCTCATATCCCCCTAACAACAATAAGAATTCTGCAGCCATCCACAGGAAAAAAGTCTCTCTGCAGGAGCTTTGAGATTCAGGTAGGAGATTATAAAACACTGGCAGAGCCCAAGACCTAAGCAGGCTGTTTTAAGAGTGTAGAACAGCACCCAGGTAGCAAACTTGAGCATGCTCTTAGGTTCAAACCTGTAAACAACTTTGTTCCTCAAAGGGCTTGGCTTCAGCCCTATTTGGCTTTGAGCCTGCAACCAAAACCATCTGTCAATGGGTCCAGGAGAAATCATGCACCTTCGTGCCTCTGCAGAAAGTTTTGTCTGCCTGATGACACTGGTCTTGCCAGTGGATCTGAAAGTTATCTGGCAGTTTGGCTCCAGCCCCCCAACAGCTGCAGGCCCAGCTTATTAAAGCTTGCACAAGGAACCAGAGGGAAACTCACTCATACCTCACAGACCAGGAATTGCCTGTCCATAGGAACCTCTGTGATGGCCAAGAAGATTCCATCCCACAGCAGATCCAGAGGGGGCCCAGTCTCAGCTTTCACCCCTCTTGCTACAGTTGGGAAACTCCCCCACCCATGCAGGAAATTAGTTGGGAAGTACACACATCTGGGCTACTGGGGTGAGCTCACCAGCATCTGTGCCACAGTGGATCCTGAGGGGGCCCAGTCTTGGCTTTAGTTCCACTTAAACTGCAGTAAGAGAACTGCCCTGGCCATACAGGAAACTGCTGGGAAGCATACATGTCTGCAACACTGTAGGCAGGGTTGCCAACATCTGTTCCGCAGCTCCTCTCACTATAGCCAGGAAATTGTCCCACTTATGCAGGGATCTGTCAAAAAACACAAAGCCATATGGACCAGTGAGACAGGCGTCTGAACTCAGGTTCCTACCCATCTTTCCCATACAGCTCCAGTACCCGCCTTGACTCTTCTCTAGGTCCAACCAAGCTGGAGTACCATCCCAACCTCTAAGCCTTCACAAGACTTACAGAGAACCCTAGATTAGGATACCCTCTAGTGTTGAAATAGCTGCAGCAGTCACAGACTCTGACAACAGGTTAGATTGTCAGAGTCACAGACTCTGACAACAGATTTCTGGACAGGCCAACTGAAGGATGAGCACAAACAAAGCCAGATTGCAAAGACTAGAATAAATATCTAATTCTTCAATGTAAAGAGATTGACATACATCCACAAGCATTAAGAACAATCTTGGAAGTATGACCTCACCTAATGGACAAAACATGACACCAATGAGGGACCCTAAAGAGATGGAAATATATGATCTGTTGGACAAGTGATTCAAAATAGCTGTGTTAAGGAAGCTCAATGAATTTTAAGAAAACACAGAGAAAAAATTCAGCAATTTAACAGAGAGATTGCAACAACAAAAAAATCTGGAACTGAAAAATACAAATTAATGAATTTTTTTAAATGCAATAGAAAGCATAAACAGCAGAAGTTAATAAGGCAGAAGAAGGAATCAAGAGCTTGAAAACAGTCTCCTTGAAAATACAGCCAAAGGAGAAAATAGGAAAAAAGAATGAAATAGAACAAAGAAAGCTTATAGAATCTATGGAATAGCATCAAAAGAGCAAATATTTGGGTCATTGAAGTTCAAGAGGGAGAAGAAAAACACAAAAGGGTAGATGGCTTATGCAAAGAAATAACAGAGACCTATCCAAACCTAAAGAAAGATATAATTATCCAGGTAGAGGAAGGTCAAAAGTCACCAATAGATTCAACCCAAATAAGACTATCTCAGACAAGTTGTAATCAAATTTTCAAAGATCAAGGACAAAGAGAATTCTAAAAGCAGCAAGAGAAAAGAAGCAAATAACATGTAAGAATCCCAACACACCTGGCAACAGACTTCTCAGCAAAGACTTTGCAGACCAGGAGGAAGTACTCTTGGTGATATATTAGGAGTACTGAAGGAAAAGATAAAAACTTGCTAACCAATAAGCCTGTACCCAGAAAAGCTATTTGTCAGAATTGAAGGAGACATAAAGACTTTCCTGGACAAATGAAAGACCCAGAAATTCATCACCATCAGACAGTCTTACTAGAAATCTTAAAGAGAGTTTTTCAAACGGGAAGAAAAGGACACTATGTGTAACAATAAAACATCTGAAGTTATAAAACTCACTGGTAAAAGCAAATATACAGACATTCACAATATTCTAATATTATAATCATGGTGTGTAAATCACTTACATTATTAGTACAAAGACTGAAAGACAAAACTATGAAAAATAACAATAACTACAATAATATGTTAAGAGGTAGAGCTATTGAATGTTTATTGTAAGCCTCATGGTAGCCACAAAGCAAGGATTTCTAATAGTTAAACAGAAAATAAAAGCATACTACTAGTGAAAATCTCTTAATCACAAAGAAAAACAGCAAGAAAGAACAGAATTAAAGAATCTGTTTTTTGAAACTAGAAAACATGTAACAAAATGGCAGTGGTAAGCCCTGACTGAATTACCTGAAATGTAATTGCTTAAATTATCCAATTAAAAGACATAGCGTGGCTGAATTAATAAAAATAAATAAGACCCAATTATATGCCACTCACAAGAGGGTCACTTCACCTATAAGAGAACACATAGTCTGAAAGAAAAAGGAGGGAACAAGATATTCCATGTAAATTAAAACAAAAAAATGGAGCAGGAGTAGTCACACTTATATCAGAAAAAAGTACATTTTCAGGAAAAAAATTATAACAAAAAAGACAAAGAAGGCAATTATATAACGGTAAAGGAGTCAAATACAGCAAGAGAATATAATAATTATAAATATATATTCAACCAGCATCAGAGCAGTTAAATATGTAAGCAAATATTAATAGACTTAAAGAGAACTATACTCTGCAATAAAATAATAGGAGAAACTTCAACACTTTCCACAATAGAGAGATCATCCAGACAGACGATAATCAAAGAAACACCAGACTAGTTGTTTCTAGATGCACTCTAGACCAAATGGACCTAACATACCTTTATAGAACATTCCATTCAAGAGTTGTAGGATATACGTTATTTGCAACAGAACATAGAACAGTCTACAGCATATATCACATAGAAAACGAGTATATCACATACATATATCACAATACAAAACAAGTATTAACAAATTTTTAAAAATCAAAATTATGTTAAGTATCTTTTATAACCACAGTGCAATAAAACTAGCAATCAATAACAAGAGGAACTTTGGAAACCATACAGAATTACAGAAATTAAACAACATTCTCCTGAACAACCAATGAATCAATGAGGACATTTTTTAAAAATTTTAATTTCATGAGACAAATGAAAATGAAAACATGACATATGAAAACCTATGAGATACAGCAAGAGGAAAGTTTATAGAAATAAATACCTATGTCAAAAAAGTAGAAAGATATTAACAACCTAGCATTGAACTTCAAAGACCAAAAAAAAAAACAGAACAAACTAAATCTCAAATTTACAGAAGGAAATAAATCATAAAGACCAGAACAGAAATAAATAAAATAGGGGCTAAAAACAACACAAAAGCTCAAAAAGAGTTGCTTTTTAGAAAGATAAAACTGACGAACCTTTAGCAAGACTGAGAAAATAAGAGAAATGACTCAAATAAATAAAATTATAAATGAAAAAGGAGACGTTAAAATTGATACCACAGAAATATAAAGGATCATAAGAGACTGTTGTGATAACTATACACAACAAATTGTAAAACCTAGGAAAAAAATAAGTTCTTAGACACATGCAACCTATCAAAATTGAATTAAGAAGAAATAGAAAACCTGAAAAGACCAATAACAAGCAAGGAGATTGAATCAGTAATAAAAAGTCTCCCATCATAGAAAACCCAGGACTGACGGCTTCACTGCCAAATTCTACCAAATAGTTAAAGAAGAACTAATTTAATTATTCTCAAACTATTCCAAAAAAATTGAAAGGGAGGAAGTTGTTCCAAACTCATTCTTTGAAGCCAGAATTACCCTAATCCCAAAACCAGACACAACAAAAAAGAAAACTACAGGCTAATATCCCTGATAAACATAGATGCAATAATCCTCCACAAAATACTAGCAAACCAAATTCAACAGCACATTAAAAAGATCATGCACCATAATCAAGTAGGATTCAGCCCAGGGATGCAAGAATGGTTCAACATATTCAAATCAATAAACATGATACATCCCATTAATAGAATCAAGAACACAAATTAGATGATCATTTCAATATATACAGAAAAAGCATTTAATAAAATTCAGCAACCTTTTATGACGAAAACCCTCAACAAATTAACTATAGAAAGAAAATACCTCCACACAATAAAGGCCATATATGAAAAATACAGCTAACATCATATTGAATAGGGAAAAGTTGAAAGCTTTTCCCCTAAGATATGGAACTAGACGAGGATGGCCACTGTCCCCACTTCTATTCAACGTTGTACTGGAAGTCCTAGCCTGAGCAATCAGGCAAGAGAAAAAAATAAAGAACATTCAAATTGAAAAAGAAGAAGTCAGATCGTCCCTGTTTGCAGATGACATGATCTTCTCTATAGAAAACCCTAGAAACCCTCCAAAAAGCTAATAGAAATTCAACAAAGTTGCAGGGTATAAAATCAAAATACAAAATTAATAGTATTTTTATAGTCTAACAGAAAAATACCTGAAAAAGAAATCAAGAAAGCAATTCCATTTACATAGCTCCAAAAAACACATCTAGGAGTAAATTTAACCAAGGAGATAAAATATTTCTGTGGTAAAAACTATAAAACATTGATGAAAGAAATTTAAGAGGACACAAGCAAATGGAAAGATATCCATTATTCATAATTGAAAGAATTAATATTGTTAAAATATCCATATCACCCAAAGCAATCTACAGATTCAATGCAATCCCTATCATAATGTCAACAACCTTCTTCACAAAAATAGAAAAATAATCCTAAAATTTGTATGAAATAACAAAAGACCCTGAAGAGCCAAGGCAATCTTGAACAAAAAGAACAAAGCTAGAAGCACCACACTACCTGACTTCAAAATAGTCTACAAAGCTATAGTAACCAAAACAGGATGGTACTGGCATTAAAACAAACACAACACACAGACTAATGGAACAAAATAGACAACCCAGAAATTAATCTACACATTTACAGCCAACTGATTTTCAACAAAGGTGTCAAAAACATGCAATGGGGAAGGGATAGTCTCTTCAATAAATGGTGCTGGGAAAATTGGATATCTACATGCAGAATTAGACTAGATCCCTATCTCTCACTAGGTACCAAAATCACCTCAAAATGGATGAAAGACACAAATATAAGATTCAAAACTATGAAAGTACAAGATAAAAACAGGGGAAACGTTTCATGATAGTGGTCTGGGCAAGGATTTTTTAAACAGAACCTCAAAATCCCAGACAACAAAAGCAAAAATAGACAAATGGATTGCATCAAACTAAAAAGCTTCAGCATGGCAAAAGAAGCAATCAACAGGGTGAAGAAACAAGCTACAGAATAGGGTAGAAATATTTGCAAGCTATGTATCTTACAAGAGGTTAATATTCAAAATATATAAGGACTCAATAGCAAAAATGCAAATACGTCGATTAAAAATGGGCAAAAAACCTGCATAGACTTTTCTCAAAAAATAAGTATACAGATGGCCAACAGAGTGTATGAAAAAGTGCTCCACATCACTAATCATCAGGGAAATACAAATCAAAACCACAGTGAGATATCACCTCACCCTTGTTAGAATGGCTATTATGAAGTAGACAGAAAATAACAAATGCTAGCAAGGGTGTGAGGAAGGGGAACTCTTATATGCCGCTGGTGGGAATATAAATAGTGCAGCCATCATGGACAGCATTATGGAGGTTCCTCAAAAAATTAAGAATAAAACTACCATATGATTCAACAATCTCACCATTGAGTAAATATACAAAGGAAATTAAATCAGTACATCAAAGAGATATCTGGCACTTTCATGTTTATTGCAGCACTATTCACAGTAACCAAAATATGGAATCAACTTACGTGCCCATCAACAGATGAATAGATTTTTAAAAAAGTGGTATGTACTCAATGAAATAGTATTCAGCCATAAAAAAGAATGAAATCCTGTCATTTGCAACAACATGGATGGACCTAGAATACATTATGTTAAGTGAAATAAGCCAAGCACATAAAGACAAATACCACATGATCTCACTTACATGTGGAATCTAAAAAAATTGATCTCCTAGCAGTGCAGAGTAAAACAGTGGTTCCAGAGGCTGGGGAAGTGAGGGGGAGGGGTGATGGGAAGAGATTTGTGAACAGGTGCAAAGGCACAGTTAGATGGAAGGAATAAGTTCTTGTGTTCTATTGCACGGTAGGGTGACTATATTTAACAATAATGTATATTTCAAAATAGCTCAAAGATAATATTTTGAATGTTCTCACCACAAATAAATGATAAATGTTTGAGGTGATGTACATGCTAATTACTCTGAATTGATCATTATATAATGTATACATATATCAAAACATCACACTCCACCCCATAAATATCTACAATTTTTATGTGTCAGTTGAAAACAAAATAAAATTTTAAAAAGGAAAGAGGTACAGTTTAGAGGCCATTGTGGTCATCCAGAGTTGGGAAAGCTGCTGCAGCTTCAAATGACCTCAACACTTGTATCTGCCACCTACTAAGATGAAAAGAGCACTGGGATAGTTCTATGTGAAGACTGGTATGATTTTCAGACCTGTTGTGCACTGGTTCTGGGGCACTGGGGGAGTGATTTTGCCCCTTTGTAACTATCTTGCTTGACTGCTTAATGGAATTCGTATATCCTGGTCTACCTACTTATGATTTTAAATCACACAATCTCATAAATGGAAAAGTGTAAAAGGAAGCAACTGGTCCCTAACCCCATGTGAACCTTGACCCCTTCTCTGTCCTCCTTAGAGTTGCATTCCCAGCACTTGGTGTCCTGGGGGACCAAGAGTCACCACCAAGTATATCTCTGTAAATGGTTCACTACTTGAACACCTTCAGAAATGGAGAAACACTCTCACTCTCAGGATAGCCATCTCAATGTTGCACACCCTACCTATCAAAAATATCTTCCTCATATTTAAGTAGTATTTGTTTTCCTGAAACTTCTACAAAGTTCTCCTAAATCAGGTCACATAGTACAAGCCTCATGCCAACTCTTCAGTGAACATGTCTCTTCAAGTCTCTTCATCAGGTTAAATGTTCCTTGTTCCTGCAACTGCTCCTCATGCGACATAGCTTTGCTCCGCTCTCCTGGTCTCATCCATTCCAACAAGTGTTCCTCTCTTTTATTTTCCCCTCCGTGTGAAACGCCTAGGAGCATTCTTTTCCACATAGCAAGCAATGACATATATTTGTTGGATTTCTTGGAGTAAACCCTGTCTGCCTAGAGTGAAAAGGGATCTCCAAGAAATCAAGGTAAAGTGAAGTGTCAAGGGATGTAGGAATAACACATATAAGGTCAACACAGATAAGGGTTTTGCAAGCAGTGTGGAACAACAGAGCAGCCAACAGGCCCGCGTACTGCTGTCCCGAGGCACAGTAGACTCTTGGGTTTCTTGGTAAAACTCATGGGTTGCATTGGTGATTTCTCTGATTGTTAAATATAGGGTTTCAATTAAACACTGTCACCTATTGAAGGCTCTGAGCTTGAGGCTGTCAGAGCACTTGTCAGAACGGGCTTAAAGGTACAGGGGCTCCAGAATAACACTTCCTTGATAAATTGAACAGGATGGAAAGAGAAATGAAATGCAAATAACTTTACCACCATAGGATTCATTATGATATGATGCCCTAACTGCTTACCACATAAAATCACCACAAGTCACATGCAAATCATCTTGTAATATCTTGGGAAGCCCTGGACTTGGAAGTATCCTATCAGATCAGAGAGATAACAGTGGAACTCTCGGCTGGTTATGTTTCTCTTCATTGTTTGGGAGATAAGAGAGGGGAATAGCAATCTGAAAAGTTCAAAGATAAATTTCTCACCTCATAATTGATTATCATATTTGCCTTTTTTTATCTTTTTTATTTCAACCAAATTATCTTCCTTGGGTGAGTGGGGGAAAGAATTGTGTCTGCACACAATGGTGGCATTCCCCACAATGGTTGGACTATGACTATTCTGATTCTATTTCCAATGTATTCTTCCTTCCTTTCCTTCTAGTCCACTATTTTGGTGGCCTTTGCCAGCCAGGAGAGCAATAATAAGGCAGTCTGAAAACATGTCTAAACCAATCAAATGTTTGCATCATGTGTATAAATGCATTTGCATTCATACATGTTTGCACAAAACATTTGCTGTGTATGTAATTGCTTATACATATTTGTGATTTTTGTGGGCAAGTGTTGACATATCTGTGTCTTTGTCATCATGTGTCTTGCTGTTATATATGTGTAAAAGGGAGTGTGAATACGTGCATGTGGGCTTTATCACCCCTGAAGGACAGCAACCCCACAGATCCATGTCCGTAATAAGGAACAAAATATGGAGTCTCTCTAACAACATTTGAATTCTCACATCTTGCTGACAGATGAGAAGGGTGCAATAGGGCCTGACCGCTCTGCTGCCAAGCCCCGGACCCGTGCTCAGTCCCTCCCCAGAGCTTTCCACAGTTGATGTCCATGCTGCTGATGCCTCTTCCCTTTGGCCTGCAGGTCCCTGTCTGGTCGCATCGTTGGTGGCGTCTGGTGGTTCTTCACCTTAATCATCATCTCCTCATATACAGCCAATCTGGCCGCCTTCCTGACCGTGGAGAGGATGGTGTCTCCCATTGAGAGTGCAGAGGACCTAGCGAAGCAGACAGAAATTGCCTACGGGACGCTGGAAGCAGGATCTACTAAGGAGTTCTTCAGGGTAGGGACATCCTTTGTCCCAAGACACTTTCACAAAAGGGAACCACAACTGTCATTAAAATGTCCTTCTCATTATATAGCCTGAGATAACAGGCAGCCAGAGCAAGTGCTTAACTGACTGTAAGTCAGGGAAACTCAGGACATTTCTAAGCTTTCTACCACCCCCCTGAGAAATCTACATTTCTACATTTGTAGAAGCTTCAAAGCTCCTGCATTGATTTGGATCCCTTGCCTGTATCAGTCTGTGCTAATGCTCTGAGGGCTGCAAAAGACATCAAATACAATTTCCTCTCTGTTATCACGGAAACCTTATAGTCTAGTTAGTAATCAATTAGGAACAGCTTACGGACAACAGCTGGACCTGATGCTCTTTGTGTCCCCTCCTATCTCATAGAAGGAGCTCAGTGAATGTTTGTTGACTTGATGAATAAGAGGATAGTATATGGGAAAAAAAAAACTGGAAAAGGTGATCTATTAAATGGTGCCAGGAGAGAGAGAAAATGTGAAGTGGGAGTGGAGGTGGTGAGATGTGTTTTGGCAGAAGACAGTGAGCGGAAGCAAAGGAGCAGAGAGCTTAGGAGCACAGCCTTCAAGTTCAGCAGATGGAGGCCCAGAACCTGGCTCCATCCCTTACTTGTTCTGTACACTTAGCCTCTGTGACACCATTTCCATTCATCCATGTAATGAGGAGAACAATGTCTATATCAGAGCTTAACAAGACTAAAAGAGATAGGGTATCTAAAATTAGAGGCAAAACAAGGAACAATCAGTGGAGGTTCCATATACCATTAGGACTTCAAGGAAATGCAAACCTTTGGGAGTCATTCTGAAGAATGGGTAGAGACTAAAGCCATACAGGGTAGACGTGTAAACATTTATAGATATCACAAAGCCAGGGTAGACCTGTAAACATTTATAGATATCACAAAGCCAGGCCAGACCTGAGTAGGCTAAGTACAACCTAGACAAAAGGAACAACTTGGACAGACACCGAGAAGCAGGAAAACCTGTGGTTTCCCTGGACTTTAGGGATGTTTATCCCAGGAGTTGAAGAAACAGTACATGGAACTACCATCTATGGATCAAATAAGAATAATAAGAAACATTTGCTACCGCCTACATATGAACCAGGTCCTGTGCTAAGCACACCCTACACAAATTATCTCATTTAATCCTCTCATTAAAGATGAGTTAGAGATTGTCCCTATTTTATAGCTCAGAGTTAGGATAGGTCCCCATTTTATAGATCAGAAAATTAAAAGAATCACCTAAGATCACACAGCTAATTAGTAGCAGAAGGAGCAGAGACAGCACGCTGCCATATTGCCTCAGGCAAAAGAGAAGGGATCCTGTACAGACTCACCTAGTTATCTCACTACAACTTCTTGGAGCAAACTCCAGGCCCCGAACAAACCACTGTGGGAGATGCTGCAGGTTCTTGACCATGGGCTTTGTATTCTGTATGACAGACAGGAAAGGGAACAAAGCCTTAAGCATCATTGATCCTAACTCCAAGGCTAAAATCATCAATTTTCAATGTGTCAGAGCAGGAAGGTGCCTTAGAGGTCACCTAGTCAGAGGCTGTCATTTTAGAGAGAGGCATTACTTGCTTAAGCTCACCCAGCCAGTTAATAAAAAAGCCACTTACAATCTCATTACAATTCCCTGACATTTTTAGCCTGCAACAAAAGTGTGAAGAAGGTGCCTGTTTCTACTTGTCCATAAAGCCTGTCCTATGCCCCAACCCCTGCTAATGCAGTTAGGGAACCATCTAATTCACTTAACAATGCTCTCATCCTTATAGCATAGACAACATGCACCAGTCCTCAAAGTACTTTTGCACCTATGGTTTCATTTTTGTTTCACCTGTGACCTCAGGCAGAAGAGGTATTTGTGGCAGCCACTTTGCGGATAAGAAATTAAAACTTGGGAAATTCTTTTGATGCAAGTGTCAGGGGTGGGTACCAAATCTGAGTTTTCTTGTTCCAATCCAAGTATTCCTGTCACTGAACCACATGGTCTTAATGTGGTGGTGTCATTAAACTGACAAACATTTTTAAAAAGATCACTCAGGATGACAGCTGGGCTTGTGGACACATCTAGTCTAACTGTACCATTTTATAGTTGGGAAAACTGAGGCCCAGAGAAGAAAATGGTCATGCCCTACCTAATGAGAGGCACAGCTGGGATTTAAAATTTCAAAAGTCTTTGTTAATCACTACGTCAGTTGACATATTACTGCCTCTTGTCCACAGCACAAAGTTAAGAACCTGGAACCAGGGCAGTGCATATTCTACAAGTTCTGTGCCCAGGCCTACTACATTGGTGACAAATTGGTTGTAGTCCATGTACTTACTTTGACAGGTCAGTAGTGGTTGCCTAGAGATTCTGAGGTCACATCTGGGCTTGATGTGAAAGGATTCTTTGATTGATATCAGTGTCTCTCATGTATACAGGAAGGGAAACTGGTACCAAGAAAGCCAGGTATGAGGCATTCCTACCCTAAAGTAAAACCTGAAAAAAAAGGCATAATTATTAGTAGTCATTGCACTACTTACAGAATGCCTTCTTGTGCCAGGCACTGGGTTATGCCTGTGTTCTCATATAATCTCCACGGCAACACTGTGAAGTGCACAGTATTATTACTATTTTCAGAAGAGGAACACTGAAGCTCAGAAAGGTTATGCTACTTGCCCAACGTCTTTCAGCTAATAAGATATAAAGCCTAAAATGAGGGAGGCAGCTGGTTGCAGTGGAAAGGCACAATGTGTGCAATCAGGAGGTCAGGGACTCTTGGCTCTGCCACTAACAAACTGCATGACATTTGACAGTTTATTGCCACATCATGGGCCTCAGTTTCTTTACCTGTAAAAGGAGAGTACTGCCAAGATATGTCCCATGCATAAGCCTTTCCATCTCTGTGACTCTGACCTTGGATAATTATCCCACCAGGAGTTTGGTGGGTGGGGAGATAAGGTTACCTACCACCCCCACAAGGCAAAAGGAGGGAATAGTGAGACAAGAATTCTTCTACTCCAGTCTCTGAAAAAGCTGGCTTCTTGTCCCCATGACAGCCCAGAACTTCTTGGCAGCCCCAGCCCAGAGATGCTTAATCCTCCATCGACAGTTTAATTAAGATGTATGAAGAGTCATGGGAGCTGCGGATGATAGGAGAGATCCAAGAACAAATACCCTGAGTATGCTTCCAATCTTCCCTGCCACTCATGCTACCTTCACATTCCTGGAGATTAGATTTTCCTGATAGTTCATCCCAAGTGTCTGTGTGCACAGCCTTAACATTTGGGGCACTGGGGTGAGGCTGAGAGGACATATTAATTTTCTGCATACTGTTGCCCAGAAGGCTCCTCAGCTCTGCCTGTCAACAGCCCAGTTCCCTGCTGTGTCCATACTGTCAGGTCAAATTGCATCTTGCAATTGCCCTGCTGTGTGTTTTGTTGATTTGTGCCTGGAAGATTATCTGCAAATCTGGTCACAGCTGAATTTATACATTTTCCTGTTTCCTGTGAGAGAATATTAAATACATTGGCAGACCTTATGATTAGTTCTGGGTATTTCCTCCCCTAACCTTGGAATCCTCCCTCCCTTTTCTCCCTTCTTTCTTCTTCTTTCTCACATTGACATTGTTGCTTGAATGACGTATCTTCAGGTAAAGAATCAGATACTTCCAGCTAGCCAGGGACTTAAAGATTATAATGCCCAAACTCCCTATGGAATGGATGGGGAAACTAAGGCCCAAAGAGAAGGGACTCTCCATAAACAAACCCATGAGTGAGAAGTAGAACTAAGACTGATATCCAGGGCTCCTCACAGCCAGTCCAGTGTCCTTTCTAGATTGTAAACCGGACTGTAAAACGAGTGATATAGTTTATCTAATTATAGGCTATTAAAACTGAAGTTTTAATAGCAACTATTTCCATTACTTTTCCCTCAAGATCTATGATTTTCCTGGGCCCCGAATGTCTTTATTGATCAGCTGACTCAAATGACAATTGTAGATCAATATCTTACCAACAGTTGACGTGCGCTAATATCAAGGAAATAAACCTGATACTTGTATACAGAAAAAAGTGATATGCTGCATGTATAATGATAATTTTATATTAAATAAATCTGAAATCTATATATTAACAACTGAATTATATAGAATATATGACTCTAGCAACAACTATTTTTAAAAAGTAGTCCGTTACATGTATTTAACACTTGTCCATTTAGAAAACATTTGTAATAGCCAGACTGTAGTATCCCTAAAATACATCTACCCTTTGGGAAAAGGTCACCGTTTAGAAACAGTATGCTAGATGAGAAGTTTGATCATGGTCCTGGATCATGGGCCCTGACTAAGGGCCTACCATGTGCAAGGTACTCAGTTAGACCCTGTGACGGACCCACAGGAGGGAAGACATTCCCTCAGGTAGCTTCCACATACTTGAGACCTACATACAAGGAGAGATGACTTGCAATCTTTGCAGTCTAGCCTGGCCATCCAGTGAGTGCCCCAGGCAGTGTGTCCCATAAGAGTATCAGCCCTCACAATACTGTTTCTCAAAGTGAGGACCATACAGGCCATACAGATCAGAATCATCTCTTGGGGACAATTCCTAAAAAAGATGTATTCTAGGTCCCACCTCAGAATTGCTGAATCAGAATCTCTAGATTTAGAGCTAGGGAATATGCATTTTTACAATCGATGTACATGATAATGGTGCCTACTAGAGTCTAAAAACCATTGCCTTTGGAACTGAGGTGGACTCCAAATACATAGGATTTATTCTGTTCTATGAAACAAGGATTTGGTTAGACAGAACCAGCATCTCAAGTGGAAAAAACAGTGCAAGCAAAGTCCTGAAGGGGAGAAGGCCCAAGGTGAGTTTAGGGGGAAATACGGAAGGCAGGTGGGCCATATTTGGAAGGTTTTTAAATGTAAGCAGATGACAATATTTGGTCCCAAGTTATCAGCTTTATTAGACAACAATATATTTGATTGGTGCAAAAGTAATTGAGGTTTTTTGCCATCAAAAGTAATGGCAAAAAACCTCAATTACTTTTGCATCAACCTAATACATTCTGAGGACAGGTCTACCCATGATCCAGAAATTCTTCAGTGCTTTCTTCCAATAATGAAATCAGATTCCACTGATATTCAGCTTTCTATTTCTTCTGGTTAGTATAAATATGGCCTTATTGAACAATAGATAGGTCCTTTAATGTATTTAAAAGTCAGGCAGGGCCCCAGTTTCTTAATTCTCCCCTTGTTTAGGAGGAATATAATTACTCAGAAGTAATTAAAAGATCTGAGCTATTCTGTTCATTCTGAATTTGCAAGATATTTGTACTTTGGAACCTACTGGTACTAATTAGAGCCTCTTATTTTGCAATCACTCATAATTTGTTTCTTCCTGAGCTAATCTCGCTCATGAATGTGTGATCAAGCTACACTCAGCTCTTCATTAATGTGTGCACCGACCCCAATTCCAAGCGCACTTAATTCCAGCTTTGTTTCTGTCCCTACCAGAGGTCTAAAATTGCTGTGTTTGAGAAGATGTGGACATACATGAAGTCAGCAGAGCCATCAGTTTTTGTGCGGACCACAGAGGAGGGGATGATTCGAGTGAGGAAATCCAAAGGCAAATATGCCTACCTCCTGGAGTCCACCATGAATGAGTACATTGAGCAGCGGAAACCCTGTGACACCATGAAGGTGGGAGGTAACTTGGATTCCAAAGGCTATGGCATTGCAACACCCAAGGGGTCTGCCCTGAGGTAAGTAGCCAAGATTTGCTTCCTTGGTACTCCCTCTCCCCTCCCTATCTCAGGAATGAAGCTTCTGTGTCTGCTACAAGCCTCCAATGCCACAATGCAAGCTGTTGAGGGGGCTCTTCTTCAACACCTATGGGCCTGAAAGATTCCAGCCACCCAAGATCTTCAGCCCTGAGGTTGGAAACTGACCTGGGGGCCTCAGCTTGCTGTGACTGTCACTGCCCATGTGTTCTTCCCCATGCCTCACCTTCCTCCTCCAAGTGCGTGAAACATCAATGAACCTTGTGCTTTTGTCGTGTGATCTGTAACACCCCATCCTTTACCAGACACCCCTGCATCCAACAACGCTATGAACAGAGTTCTCCAGCAACCTGAATTCTTTGACAGAAGGTGGTTTATAATGTTTGTCTCAAAAGAAACATAAACATGTTGTCCAAATGAAAAATCAAATCTTTCGAGTCCTGAGACTCTGGCTGTGGAAATCGAAATAGCATCTAATGAATAGCACCAAATTAATTATAGCACCTATTCTTACCTAGAGACTGATTTATTTAGCAAGATATAGACAGTTTGGTAAAGAAGCAGAGTGGACTTTACTTTCACGAAAAGAAATCCTGATATTCATTCTCAACAGCTGAGGAAGAGTCCTGTAGACATGGAGTCACAATACCTAGATTTAATTCTGACTGTCTTACAAAAGGTAAAACATATCATCTTCCAGCCCTTAGTTTCCTCATCTGTAGAGGGAGGATAATTGGCCCAGCCCTTCCTAGGTCTGAAGTGGTTGTGAGTTCAAATGGTATAATTTATGTTGAAGGTCACTGAAAACAGTACACTGTGAAGTCACCTATGAGACATTATGTCAATTACAGAAGGATTAAATCATTTGGGGGAAGAGTTGCATTTCAGGAAGGGTAAGAAGGATTAATAAAGTTTGCAAAATGATGGAGAGGGATTCCTAACCCATCTGGATATGACATCTGGGTCTACCTCTGCCTCCACTTTATTCATTTATCTTAATAATACTAAGCCCCAACATTGTTCTGGGGACTGGGCTAGTAGCTGGAGCTACAATTTTGAACAAGATAGACATAGTCCCTGTCCTCATGCCACTACATTCTTGCAGGAGAGACAGACATTAAAGAAATAATTAACATTTAATGACAATTCTAATAGATACTAGGACAGTCTATAAAAGGGGACCTAGAGAACATCTACTTCCTGCAATGTAGCAGAACAAAATTCTCACTATGAAACAACGAGATATGCTGGATAAGATATAACAAATAGCCTTTTAAGTGCAAGTTAAGAAATTCCTAGGATCAAAAAGAAAAAACAAATCAAAACTAGAACTAAAAGCGTAAGCTTATTATTCTGGGACTACGCTAAGCAAGGCAAAGTTATAAATTATGTGACAATCTACATGAGCAACAATTAACAGTACAACTAAAAACATAAGGTAATCAAAAACATCAGAGGTGGGGGAGGGGGGAATCAAAGGACATTCCCCAGAGTAACACACAGAAAGATGAAAAGAAAATGTAACACAGAGTTTAAGAGACATGAAAAAGAAAAAAATTGAGTCTGCTGTGAGTTCCAGACAGAGACAAGAGAGAATGAAGTGGAGGCAATATTTTAAAGAAATTTTCTGGAATTTATGGAAAGCATAAATCCTCAGATTTGAAAATCAGTCTTAAGCATAATAAATAGATAAAAATCAGCAGCTGATTCAATTGAAAGCAGAACAATAAAGACAAAGAGAAGATCTCAAAGCACCCAGATATAAAAAGGTTCAATTTGGTCTGCAGGATGAGTGGGGTATGGCTGGGAAGACAGGTCCAAAGATGTTTTTTTCAAGCTGCAGTTTGACAGATTAATAGGAGTTAACTAAGTGAAGTGAGGAGAAGGGAAGAAAAGAGTAGTTGAGGCAGAATAAATAGCATGTGCAAAGATTCTAAGGCAAGAAATCATTGCACAGTCGATTAACCAAAAGCCACTAAGTGTTCTTGGAACACAGGTAATAATACAGAGGAGAAATGTTTAAGCTGAGATTGGAGGATGAGGTGGGGAAGAATTTTATAAAGAACTTTTGTCTTTATTCAAAGAGGAATGAAAATACTTTGAAGAACTTTAAGTAATTATCGGAAAATTGAGAGAATAAAGATACCTGGAGAAGTGTAGACATAATTGAATATGAACTAATGAAGACAAATCAAATGGCCTGGTATTTATCAGTCATGTGTTTTTGCCTGGTTGAATCTAAAAGACTCTTTACAAGTTTGAGCAAAGTTCAAAGGGGATTCAGATGATAGTGTTTGGCAACGAAGAGGCTTTTATCTCAGAAACTTATTGATCATCAGCCTAGAAAGACTCAAAGTAGAGAGTGAGTTTTTATAGTTCCAGGAACATCAGTGATACCTCAATATTACAATTTACTGAAGGTTTCGTGAGTCAAGGACATCCACATAAATACATGGATGTGAAGTTAAGAAAACAAAGCACAGACACATAACATAATTTGTCCAATCAATAGAGTACCTCTGTCATCCCATCCCACACATAGTTTCCTGGAACAAGGTAACAACTCAGGAAATACTGTATATTTCCTGATACTGGAAATACTGGAGTGACATGAACCTAAAACTCAGGCCATTTGGCACTCAAATGACTTTCCACTATAATAAAAACCATCATTGAGTCAGTGCCTATTAAGTGCCACTCACCGTGGTACATGCATTATCTCTTATAACCCTTGCAACATGACTATGAAGTACCATTATTTCCATTTTACAGATGAGGAAACAGAGTAAGAGTTAAGTTGCCTGATCAGGTTGACACAGCTAATAAGGTAGAAGCCAGATTTCAAGCCCTGGCAGTCTGACTTCAGAGCCTATGGCTGTAACTCACTCTAATGCTGCACTGGGCTTTATGAATGACAGCACCATTAAAGGCAGGGGACTGGACTTGGGCCAGGTCCTTTGCACCTATTCACATGAGCCAAATAACCACCAACTTGGGAATTAAAACCAGACCTTTGAAGTCCAGAGCAACCACTCACCACTCTGAAGGCAAAAGGTGATAATGGACACTGACTTTAACACACCCAGCACCATTCCTTTGAGGAGTAACCCTGCTTTTATGGATTTGCTTGCTGAAAGACACTTTCTAGAACAAACAATGAAAATAATTCTGCTTCATAATAAAAAACTAATTCTTTTGCATACATCTCTGTAAACACATAACAAGCCATTTATTGATTTCAAAAAAGAGAGCAAAAGAAAAGGAGAGAGAAATGAAAAAGCAACATGTTTCAAATACAGATCACTGACGACTGAACTGCAAGTCAAGAACACCCAAATGATGGTCATATGCTCCTGTCTTCCTACAGCGCTCCTTTCTCTCCAGTGCAAACCTGATGGTAGTCATGGGGCCATCATAATTCCTGATTCAAAAACAAAAGAGTAACGCTCGTCTTAAAAGGGCCTCAGGTGTCTGGCCTAGGAAAGTTCCTCTACCCTTAATGGGATTCTGCTTCTCATCTGTGCATTAAAAGGGAACACTGCTAGCAACCAATAATATAGAGGTTCCACAAAACACACCATTAAAGAATGGTTGCAGAAAATATGAGTAACCACGCCTCTCCTACACCCCAACCCCCCCTCCCCCCACACACACACACACACTCCAGCCAAGTTTCCATTATAACTCTTTTTCACACCCCATATGATGCCATTTGACCCAAGACATGGTCAAACTCCAAAGAGTTATGGCAAACCAAATACCACAAACACATGTGCCTGTTCCAGCAATCCTAGATCCACTGACTTGATCCCAGGAAACCATTCTGCATGACAGAGGTGGACAGTAAGGAGAAGAGTAAAGACATTTGTGCTTCCTTTGGACCCATTGAAGAGGGGCTGATATATGCTTAAAGATAACCTGGCAGAAGAAGTCCAATTTTGTTCAAATTATTTTGAATCATAAAAAATACTTTTTTAAAGGACTGTTTAACTACTCACAAGGCTGCAAACTCTTTGGAAGTGTTTACACTACAAAAAAAGTGCTTGAGTTTGTTCCAGGTATTATTATAAACTTCTCTTCAGCCCTATCAAAGGTAGGGTTTTTGCAGCTTTCACAGGCAGATGTCCTCCAGGCTTACTGCCTGTAGTTGTATCAAGAGAGGACCTTTCTGGCTGTCCTCCTCCACTACTTGCTCTCCATAAAGCCAGACTTCACTGTGCCTGTGGGGCATTCACTCTCTTACAGCCTGCCTAGAACAAGCTCCAGATTTCTCCAAGACAGATCACCCAGTTATGCTTCAGAAGATCAGATAACTGACATCTAAGGCCCAAATGTTCCTCCAAAACTTGCCAAGTCTACTTGGCAGAAGCCAGGCCATGGTCCCCATAGAGTGTTAAAAAGCTGTGTTAGTGACAGAATGGGGCTTTTGTTTATTTGTTTGTTTCTTCTGCTCTGGAAACAAATACTCTGATGAAGCAAGGTGGTTCAATCCTTGATTTTCCATTTGGACAGGTGGTGTTTCTTTGAAACAGATGCTGTTTGTTGGCTGTCACTGCATGTTTGGGGGTGGGAGAGGGGCTGTTATGTTTCACAAGCCCTCAGGTTGTAGATAAAGACCTATGCAGCCAACGTCACTCACTAGGGAAAGGCAATTGGTAAATCCACTAATTATGATCTATTGGCCCTTTTGGTGCCAACTTAATGTATCTTGCTAGCCTAAACTGAAATGTCTTTTCTTTATTATGATGAATACTTCCTTTGATGTGTTCAAATTTCCTAAGTGAGGGGGCTTAGCCCACGTTTTATCAACCTAAGAAAGAATCCACACCAGATTGGCCTCAGTTAAAATGTCACCTGATGATTCTCTTTCACAAACTACCTACCAGGAGTTTAACGGATTTGCTAAGAGTTAGACCCTAATCAGGACATTGGTCAAAGTCTGGTCTTTAGCTGTGACTGTGGTTACATGGAGTCTTCTTTGGTCTCTGTGATCATGACATGTTTGTCTTCTGTCATGTGTCTTGTTTATGCCAGATGTATGGGCCAAGGGGGCAGGAGTGCAGTACAGCTTCACCCTGCAGCTTACCGGGTAATGGGCACCCAGGAAGGTCTGAGACCCACTCTCTGTGCTTTCCATTTAGCTTCACCGATTGGTTTCCAAATACCTTCTCACACAAAGCACTGTGCATAATGCTGCAGGGAATGGCAGTGAGAGATGCAATCCCAGTGCTTAAATAATGCATCATCAAATACAGCTCATGAGCAGAATTATGTAGATACCTATTATCCTACCAATGCCATAAGAGAGCCAGAAACACTCAAAAAAAAAAAAAAAGGAGGAGAGTCAACGTTTGCGTGGTAGGATTTGCAATGGTGGAAGAATTGTGGAAGAATTGTGATAGATGGGAAGTGGGGAGAGGAGGCTTCATATTAGGGGCTGAAGAGGAAAAGAGAGCAAATGCAGAAACGGAAAAAAAAAAACATGGGGCTTGTTTTCAGGAACAACAAGGGGTCCACTTTAACCAGAGAATTCATTAATAGGTAGGAGTGATTGGCTGCGGTCATATTGTGAAGAATCTCAAATGTCTCTGCATGTTTTACTATGTCAGTAGGAGCCACTGAAAGTCATTTACAGGGAGGGACATGATTGGACAGGCTCCTGGAGATTACCCTGGCGGTGGTTTGCGATACGCATCAGAGAGAGGAGGATCACAGGGAAGGAAGTCATTTAGAAACCTGTTGTGGTCATCTTGGTAGGAGATAATGAATGTGGTCATGAGTTACAACGGGATGCAGACACTTGGGAGAAGTGGTGGGCTCTATGTTCGTCACTAGTCATATCCTTCACTTTAAAGCTGGGAGGTTTGGAAAAGAAGTCTGTTACGTAAGCTTTCTGGGGCTTTTGTGCCCCTGCCTAAGGCTTGACTGGGTACAAACTGATTTTGGCAAGGACAGAAAATGGAAAAATACGGGATTTACCTCCCAAACAGAATAATTGCTGCCACCTCAATTTTACCTCTGAAATGCCTACCTGGTTAAGAAAGGCATCCCTGGAAAGGACACAAGCTTTCCGGCACACCAGCAAGAATGATGAAGGCCGTCGATCACCTTTACTTACTCCCTGCTGCATTGACTATATCTGGCCTTTATCAATTTTTTCATATCACATGAGCTCAGAATTGTTCATCACCATTTTAGCCTCACTGGCATTCCCATTGAGTATATTTTTTTCTCTCTTCACACAACCCTGTGCTGGAAAATATCTAGCAAAAGTTGCTTGTGTATATTGGCATCTGGCTAAAGAAAAGGAGGGTGGTTAAGGCTATGAGTCGGGAAGAGGTATCACCAAGGTTTTGTAGGGAAGGCTGTCACTTTCAGGGACTGAGGGTTTCCTCCTAGTTGCTCATCCCCCATACTGGGACGATAAAACATGCTTGTATCTTCCATGAAGTCCAGTAGGCCTTCCCTGGAATCCTTTTTTTGCCTAATGCTAACCTGAGTGCTACAGAAGGCCATAGAGAGTTCTCTTCTTTTAGAGAATCACATTGACCCAGAAAATAATTGGGAAACAAATAAGCAAGTGCTTTTTTGTGTGGCATTAAGTCGATTGCTCTAAAGAGCCCTTCCCAACTTCGGTGTGTATCAAAATTACCTAGGGAGCTGGTTTAAAATGCCCTTTCCTAGACTCTAATCCTTGAGACTTCTGATTTTGCAGATCCAGGAATGTGCAATTTGAACAAGTCCCCCAGGTGCCTCTGTTCTAAGTAAACAGCAGTCCACTCTGGGAACAAGGGCTAGAAGAGGTCAGGGAGGCGATGTGCTAGTGGTCTGAGGAGGCAGAACATGAGGAGGAGGCCCTGAAGGAATAGGGGGATGAATATGATGGGAGATGACCAGGAATCCTCATGGAATGGTTCACAACCCGAATTCCTGGAGTCAGATCACCTCCACTCAAGTATAAGGCCCGTTACCTTGCCAGAGTTTGACCTCACTGGGTAAGTCACTAGAACTTCATAAACGTCTGTCTTCTTATCTGAAAAATTGGAATAATAATTTTGTGCAGCTGCTTTGATGATCTGATGAAATAGCATGAAGTGCCCATTACAGAGGATACTTATTAGTGTTCATTTTCTACCCCTCTCCTCCTCCCATTAGACCTACTAAAAAGTCACTTTTGAGCCAAAGAACTTATTTTTTTCTTTTTTGTAAAACCAACTGTGTTCATCAGAAATGCATATGAGCCCCACCCTCATCCCCCTCACACACACTGGCTGCATTAGAAATAAAATATCTCTGAGAACAATTTGTGGTCCTCCCCCACAGAGAACATGCTAAAAAATAAAGCCCTAATATTTCTTTTTCTCCCTCCCTCCCACTCTCACAAGTAACAGCCTGTCTTCCCATAGTATAGTACTGGTGCAGAGCCTGCTGCTGCTGATAAATACAGTATGTCCCAGGGAAATGACAGTCCCTTTCAATTAGTCCTTGCCTCCTGATGGGTAGCCAGGGATGCTTGTTGTCATGGTAACCCTATGAACTCTGTGACCCAGGTCGGGCCTGATCAGAGACAAAGCCCTCTGAGTGGAGAGGCTGGATTTATTTGCATCCTCAGAAGAGCTGGAGAGAAAGGAAGAGAAGGAGGAAATGGGGGGATAAAAGGAGAGATAGAAAAAAATGGGAGGGAGGTTGGGAGTGAGGGAGGTTGGGAGGGAGAGACAAAGGAAGGAGGGAGGCAGAGAGACAGAGAGAGAGAGAGAGAGTGTGTGTGTGTGTGTGTGTGTGTGTGTGTGTGTTTCAATAGAGACTGGAGGTTTGCAAAGGAGAGAAGCTTTCTCAGGTCAAGACATGTGGGATGCATTTCAGAGAGTACCAAGAAAGCTTCCTAAGAGACTGGTGCGCTAGTCCGGTGCAAAAGTCCAGACAAAGGAGTGGCAAGCGCTTTATTTAGCATTTTAGGGGTGGTGATAAGACTTGTTGTTAATATTATTGAACACTGACTCATCTCAGGCACTCCTAAGAAGTGATGTGCATTATCCTATTTAATCCTAACAACACCGTGGAGGTAATATTGTTTTCACCTTCATCACATAATTCAACCTGATTCCAGACCTCTTCTCACCCATTAGGCAAGAATGCCCTCTCAAAGATGTAAGGAGGGAAATTATGAGGAAGGGATGATTATTCAGATAATAAAGATTATTTAATCATCACCCCCCACCACACACACACACACACACACACACACACACACACATACACGCACACACACAAATAGCATTGGTCCTGCCCAACCAATATACAAATAAGAAAACAGGTTATACAATATACAAATAAGAAAACAGCAGAAAGCTTTCTTTCTGCTCTATTTGAATTCCCTAGGGAATGCTTGCTTGACTGCACCATTTGTACTTGTGGGGAATAAGGAACCTCTCCAGGATCAGAGCCATATCACAGGTGGATGTCTTACCCTATAACTACATAAAAATGCAAAACTGTGCATCTGATGCATATTAAGGTTCCCCTGCTTGTCCATAACAGATTGAACCAAAAACATCCCTAAAGATTTTTATGCTCCTGAAAATTCTATATGTTTTTTGTTTCTTTCAGCAATGTAAAACAGGTCATTTTAAACCAACTGTGCCATAAGTTTAGAGGGTGGGGTAGGGGAGCCTTACATTCGTTTTATACCAATGATGTGCTGGGCAATGCATTCAGTGCCCTGTGATGGTCATACATTAATCCTTCCCTCATCTTTTGATTTAGATATTATCATTTCCCTTTCATAGTTTAAAAAACTAAGATTCAGAGGGTAATGCTTTACCCAGGTTCTCAAAGTGATTTGTGGAACAGTGCTTAGGTACAAACCCTGACTCTGAAATCCTCATTCTTTCCACAGCCCACCTTTGTGCTAATCAAGACTCGCATCACTGCCTTAAAAGGTGGCATCCTCAAAACGTCCAGGGAAAACATCAGGGGACATGAGATGTCAGATGGCCTCCACAAACCAAGCACTCTGTCTTGAAGCACTAGGCTAGGCTGCAGATCCACGCTGCTTATTTGTTTTGGAGGATTCTGGTGAAATCACAAAGACAAATGGGCAGTAACTCTGGTTAGAGCCCATTTTTTATTTATTTATTTATTTTTGAGATGGAGTTTCACTCTTTTTGCCCAGGCTAGAGTGCAATGGCGCAATCTCAGCTCACTGCAACCTCCGCCTCCTGGAGGTTCACGTGATTCTCCTGCCTCAGCCTCCCGAGTAGCTGGGATTACAGCCGTGCACTACCACACCAAGCTAATTTTGCATTTTTAGTAAAGACGGGATTTCACCATGTTAGCCAGGCTGGTCTCAAACTCCTGACTTCATGATCCATCCGCCTCGGCCTCCCAAAGTGCTGGGATTACAGGCATGAGCCACCATGCCCATCCTAGAGCTCCATTTTATAATGCCTGGTTGAGAAGCTCATAAATGGCAAAGCAACACATTAAAGAGAGAGAGGAGGAAGGTGGTGAAAGCGAGGTGGCAGGGATGTATCTGGGAAGATAAATAAGGGAAATGAATGGCCTTTACCTAGGTGAGAACAGCAGCTCAGTGCAGGCTGTGATTTGCCCACTGAAGCACTGCTCCTCCTGCTGATACACAAATTGCATGTTGCTTTCTTTTAAGAGGCTGTCTTGGTCAAAAATAGCATCTCTTTTTTTCCTCTCTCTCCCTCCCATCAGCAACTTAATTTCAGACTTGCTAGGTCTTTTGCGTTTTCTAGGAAGGCAGCTGCTGTAATACAAAGGAAGACCAGGAAAGAGACGGATTGGATATCTGTCTCAGCTCTGCCACTTGGGGCTTATGGGTTTGGAAAGCAAATGTGTTTTGGTGTTCCTGAGACCTGAATTCAAATTCTGCCTCCCGCATTTACGACCCATGTGATCTTGAGAAAGTAGCAAGCTGCAGTATCACCCTGAAGTCAAGACTGGTATGAATCCCAGGTCTGCTAGTTAATAACAACTGTTTCTTGGACAAGTGACTTCATCTCCTTAAGACTTAGTTTTCACCAAATGTAAAAAACTGGAGGTAACTCTGGCATTTATTTCCATAGTTGTCAAGTGTGATTAGATGAGATAATACAAAGTGTTTAGCACAGTGCCTGGCACATAGTAAAATGACTGACAAGTGTTAATTATCCTTATTTAATGTCTTTGAAGCTTAATTTTCTCATCTTCCAATCGAGATCTTCCTATGAGATTCATAAGATTGTCTTGTGAATACAATGAATCCCTTATGAAGAGTTCATGGTGTATGAGGAGTTCTTGAATATGAATCCATTTTTTTCCCTGTTCTCCTTCCCTTTCGGCCCTCCACACTCACCATCTCTTCTGTTTGTGTGAGTATCTGACCCAAATTAGTGGCAATTACCTTCTCTGGGCTACACCACACTACGATTGTTAACATTGCAATATGGCAGAAATTTCAGAATACCAAATGTTCAGCTAACAGCCACACTGCATTCCTCTATATGCCTGAAGGTAGAAATTTCCAGTGTCTGAGAAGCCCAGTCTCGGAGGGCAGGCAGAAAGGAAGGAATAAGGGGTAGCCCTGAGCTGAACCCATGCTGAGAAATTCCCAGCCATCTGTCCCTGTAACATTTTGTGAATGGTCCCACAGGCTAAGATCATGGCTTAACAATCATATCTAATCAGCCTGTTCCTCAGAGTGAAAGGGGCAAAAGCCCAGGTGAATCCTAACCAAAGGAACCAACTTCCTCTCACACAGTAAACCAGCAGAGTCCCCAAACAAAGAAAATCAGGCAGGGAAATTTGCATATATTATTCATCCTTCCTCAGAACAAACGTCTAGTAAACAAAGAGCACAATGAACTCTTAATCATATTCTTTATTCCCATGGGAATAAAATGTATTCCTTTAGAGGAATAAAAAAAAAAAAATAGTTGCATTAGTCAAGCCAGTCTCCCTGTGGCCCACAAACACAACTTTCCCCCACTCCTGTATCTTCACTTGTATTGCTTCCTTCTGCCCTCCACCCATATTTCCAGGTCAACGAAGCAAAGGCCAACTCTCCCAGAGAATCTAGCAGAGAATTTAGCATGCAGGAAACCCCTGCTGATTGCTTATCACATAGACCAGTTCCTACCCAGCCAACTTCGATGTACATGATGACTTTCTGAGCACATAATCAAATCAGTTGCTGTGCCTGGTCTGTCTGATTCATGGAGAATCAGGAAATACTAGTCCTACTATATAGACCACATAACACAAATTAAACCAACTGACAACTTGTAGGTCTCTTTGGCCATTACTAATAAACATCCTAAAGGCAACAAATGCAAGTACATGACCATGGTCATGCAATTTATTTCTACCAACATTCCAAGTATAGTATTTTCAAAATGCCAAGTCAGTACTCTTAAGGGAAACAAGGATGAATAAACTATGACATTAGCACTTCCAAGATTCATCATCTAGAGCAGGGACCGCAACCTCAAACACCCCAGGGCCAGGTAAAGAAGACGAGTAAAATGGGCCAGGGGTAAAACCTATGTGGTTTTCTCATTTTTAATAGAGTCATGAGTACAGACAATATTTCTCTAAGAAACAAATCCACAGTGCAAACACTATGGTAAATAATAATTATAGTTAATATTTATTGAAGACTTGCTATCTATAGCAAGCAATCTCTAAATTCTCATATGCATTTCCTAATTTATGTAATCCTCACAAGAACCCAATGAAGTAGGTACTATTAATAATCTCATTTTACAGATAATGAATCAGTGGCACAGAGAGACTAATTAACTTGTCAAAGTTCACACAGCGAGTAAGTGGCAGAGCCAGAATTTGAACCCAGATAGTCCAAGTTCAGAGTCTATGCTCTTATCAATCACACAATGCTATAAATGAAAGCTGACACTGAGGATCACAGGAAATGATGAAGACTAGTGAACAGGGCTATGTGTCTTATCTAGACGGGACAGTCTCCACTCATTCCAGTCTAATGTTGACATGTAGGAATGTTGTCACATATTCTCATTTTTCAAAAGAAACTAGAAATCTCAATTTTTATATAAACTATACAACTTTTTTAGTAGTGATCACATTTAAGAGAGAAGGATAAAGAGAAGGCACAACCCACTAACAACTAACGCTAATACAAAGGAGACTGGAAGTACCATAAAAATAAATAGATAAATAAATAAGGCAAAGTGAGGAAAACATGCAGTTAAGAATTAATATCTTGCCCATCCCCAGGGTGAAAGCTCTAGAAAGGCCTCCAGGAGGAGGCAGCATTCCCTGAACAGTTCCTTAACCAGTAGAGAGAACAGCCAGGCGGAAGACGGGGAGGAAGGTATTTCAGGAAAAGCCACCGCAAGCATACCATACAGGAGTGAAGGGAAGGGTGATTCATGCATTCTTTTTCAATCTTTGTTGTTGCTGTTTTCAGCAGGGAATCACTTCCCCAAACAAAACCTCTCATGGAATCCCATTATAAATGAGAGATACAGTGGAGCTGCAAGAGATAAGGGGCTGGAGGTGGTAGTGGAAAGGGAGAGGAAGAAGAGAGAGGGCCAGCAGGGTCAGGCTGGAGGTGGGAGACCTGCAGGAGCAGAGTTTTCTTCTCTTCCTCAGGAGCCATTCTCTGTCACTGAAGGGGAGAATTCTCCAGCATTGTGACCCTGTGTATTTAAAAGTCCACAAGAAAATAACGGACCTGCTGGCCTCCCCTGCATCCTGTTCACGCAGTCCTTAGAATTGGCCCAGCTTTTCTTCCTTTCATTGAACCAGGGGTGGCTGAGATGAGACCAGTGAGCTGGCTCTTGTACTGAATAGTGTTTCCACTCCCTCCATTAATTGCGGGGGGACCTTCATTCATTCCCTCTGTTATCTTTTGTCAAGCATCTCCAAGGTATCTGACACAGACCTGTGTGCCTGCTGCTGCTGACAAATGCTTCTGCATTACAGGACCAGATGTGGTTTACTGTGAGCTGCAAATGAACTGTTGACACCTGCTTCTCACAATGTGGGGTGGGCTAGGCATCACACTTGCCTTAGAAATGCTTGCTGTCTCTAGAATTCCTGTTGGAGGAGCCAGACTTCAGATCCCTATCCAGGTCTCTGGGCTGTATCCACTGATCTTAACCAGGTTTCTTCACAGAACCCTGAAGAAATTTACAGGGCCAGAAATAAATATTTGCACATTTTAAACTGCTGTGCAGTTTTGAGGGGTTCAAGAAACCCCTATGGTTTATCTCAGAAATTAAAAAGTACTCCTTCATTCAACAAACATTTATGAAGCAGCTACTGTGTTAGCTATTGTGCAGTGTGCAGGGTTCCTGCCAATAGAGCTCAGATTAGATGAGTGGAGATGGATAAGGGAATGGTGAGTTTGCTGTGATAAAACATGCAAGTACAGTGGGACCAGAAGGCTCAGTCCATTCTGCCTTGGGTCACTGCAGGAGTATTTGCAGAGAACAACACACATCAGAAGCGTGTAAGATGACTAGGGTTCCACAAAGTGGTGAAGTGTCCTAGGTAGTACATGTGCCAATGCAGAGGTGAGCTTTAGTTATGCTACCTAGTCCAATCCAGCTACCTGAATTTGTCCAGAATTACTCTCAAAGCACTTTCCCATCTGTCACCTCATTTACTCCCAACTCTACAGGCAGCTGGGGCAGGAGCATGCAATTATTCCCATTTTACAAATGGGAAAACTGAGGTACAGTTAGGGTCATCAACCACCCTGGTTTGCTCAGGATTGAGGGGGTTTCCAGGATGTGGAACTTTGGGTGCAAAAACCAAGACTGTCCCAGGAAAACTGGGACAGCTGGTTACCCTAGCTGTAGTTACATGACATGTCACATAATTTGATCAGAGATGAATGAGGTACTCAAATCACGCCTTCAGACTCTTTCCTCCACCCAGCATGGAGTGATTAAGTGAGCACTCTGTATATATCATTTGCTTTAAAAAAAAATTAATTTGTGTCATTTGTACAGTCAGAAACCAAAGACAAAGCCTCTGTCTTCTGCTGACTCACTGCCTGACCAGCATTTCTTCTCATAAGATCGCAGAACTCTCTGTTCCTTGAGTATACTCAAGAGGGGAACACCATCTGGAATGGTCAGGTGTGAAGGGAAATTTGATCCTACCTGTATTCCTTAAGGAACCCGGGGATGTCTGCATTTTAATTGAGGCTCCTGATATAACCCCACTAACTATTTTCTTTTGCTTGGTCACTGGATAGCCTCTCCCAGTTCACTCATCACCCCAACCTCCTGAGTCAGCGGAGTCCTATGGGGTCTGAGTTGTCTGCCCAGTCAGTTTACCTTAAATGGTCCACACAGCCAGTGATGTCATAGACTGAACTAAAGACAGAGGACTTTGAGACCATTGTCCAAAGGAAGCCATTAAGGAGTGCATCTAGGACCCAGGCCCACCAGTACTAGTCCTGCCTAAATTCAGCCATGCTTTTCCTCGGCAGTGGCAGGGTAAATGAGCCTTGGTTCCTACGGAGGCTCTGGTCCCCACTCCCAGCAAAAGAACCCCGGCTTAGCCTTGGAAAAGAGGCAGAAAAAATCCACCCAGAGAAGGTTTCTCTGTCATCCCCTCGAAATGGTTTTTTATCCTCCACAGGCCTATGTGTGAGGGACTGTGGAATATTGCTTAGTTCAGGGAGAAGTGTAAAAAGAGAAAGGAGGAAAAGGTGAACTGGATCTTCTTCACAGAGGGAGAACTGTGCACCCCTGAACCCTCAAGCCCCATGGAAGGAAGAGTTAGAAGGACCATGCTCACTTGTGCACTGACCCTTAATCCAGTGCAAGCAAATTCTCACCCTAAATAGCCCCCATAAATGTGTTTAAACTTTACTCATCAATACCTGCTCTCCCCTCTTAAGGGTAGATGGAGAGTTCCTCGAAGGCCCTTCCCCTAGAATCCTAGTGGTTCCCAAACTGCAGATATCATGTATCAGTAAAATTACAAAAAAATAAAATGGTAAAGTGTGGACACTTGACAATATTTTATATTGCCAGGAAAAGACAAAGGAAACAAAAAAAATTACCGTCTCTTATTAATACCATTTAATAACAGAAGGAATATGTTAACACTAAAAATTAATGAAGGAAACAATTACAAACAAAGGTCTGTCCTTTAAATGGAAAAGTTCCATGTCCTGAAAACTCACTACACAACGCTTATCTTTCCTTCTTTTCCCATTGATGAGTGAAAACTATCACAAACCAGTTCCAGCTCATTGGATGAGCCGTTTGGGAACCACTGATTTAATCCCAGCTTTTTATCTAGCTCGTGAATTTCCTCCATGTTATTCCTGACAAACAGTTGTCCCATGAACAACATCCCAACAAATCATACTTTTCAAGTAGCAATTATCAGAGGGTGCTAATAATTCCAGGTTTGCCGTCATACTAAGCAGCAATCTGTGTCCCTGTGGCTTTGTCTCCCTGATCTAATTCTGCCCTCTGGCATCTCAGAGAATAACGCTAATTCCTCTTCCACTGACAACCAACCTCAAGTTTCCATGTGAGTCCTGCTTGCTTTGAAGTGGCCCACTATCTCCATGATCCCTGGATCCAGGGTTAAAATTTTCAACCTTGTCTCTTCCTCTCATATAAGCCGTTATATTTTTCAGTTAATTGATATACATTTGCTTAGAACTGACTGTATCATTCACTCTGCTGAGTGTAGATGAGCTTCTGGTCTGAGGCCTCTCTCTGCTTAAAAACCTCCTGTATCTCCCTTGCCCATGGGTAAAGTGTTGATGTTCTAGCATAGCACTCAAGGAAGTTCATGATTAGGACTCTGTCAGCTGTTCTAACCTCATCTCCCCGAAGGTCCCCTCATCATGACTACACTCCTCGGGTGGGGACTTTGCCCTTTTCACAGAACACTCCCTAAAGGTTTTCTAACTTCCACCCACTGTCAGAATTCACCTCTCTCCTCTTTTGGTGCTTCCATAACCCTTTATTTTAAAATCTGATACAGTCTTTCATGAACTATTGAGAAATATTTCTGCCTCACATACTAGATTGCATGGTCCTTAAAGGAAGAGGTTTACAATTTGTTCAAGTTGTTATTCCTAGTAAGTACCTACAATGCTTAACACTTGATTGATCTTCATAAATGTTTGAAGTGTTGACCCAAAGACACTAACTCTTTACTCTGAAGGCTTTATAATCAAGTTGAAGACTAAGACCAATACACATCAAATAGTAGTAGACAATGCAGTGAACTGCCTGCTAGATGCCAGGCAAGTTTAAAGGAAAGGTCAATGAGAAATAAAGTGCTCAAGGGCAGATTCAAGGAAAACATGGGGAGCATTGCAGAGCAACCAGGTCTTAAAAGAGAAGTTAAGGAGAACAGCAAGAAGCAAGCACACAGGAGCAGGCAGAGGCACACTGGTTGAGAAAGTAGGATGCCCAGCAGCCTGGTCTGATTAAATCAGAAATTCCCTCTGTAGGAGGACAAGCAAAGCATATTATCATAGGCTGGGCAGAATTCCAAAGGTCATTTCATCCAACACTCCTCAGACGCTGAAACTCAAGGTTTCGAAGGCAAAAGTGGAAGTGTAGACAATTGCTACAGAATTGAAGCCCAACATTCTGTCCTTTGCCTTTCATAAGTTGAGACAAAATTAAAACCATCTGAAATATCTCCCTTGGCTGCTTTTTTCAAACTTTAATTTCCCTGCAAGTATATGATAATTGAGTTTCTTTAGAGCACAAGGCTGGATATATTGGACCTTAATGTGCACAAGTTCATCCTAGAAATTGTCTTTAGAGTACCAAGTCTTTCCTCCCCAAGAGTTCCAAAACTAATTCAATATTTAGAATGCTCCCCTGGACCTCCCAGTTCCAGTGGCTGAATATCAGGGCTCAGGCATTAGAGGATTCTTTTTGTTCTTTGGCCCTCTTGGGGACTAAATGCCATGTATGTCACCATGTCAGTGACTACAGCCTTGGTTTCATCCCCTGATGACCCACAACCATCATCTCCCTTATGCTGAACATCTCTCTGAATCTTGGAATTTTCAGATGACTCTAACTTTGCCAAATTAGAATCATGCCTGATTCTTTTTTTGTTTGATTGTTTGCTTTATGTTTGTTTACTTTGCTCAGTGCCAAGCACAGGATTTAGCATAAGAAAAGTTCCACTAGAGGTTGTTTATTCAAGTAAGTAATTATTATAGCCATCCGTATATGAATGCTTTACAAAATTTTGGCTGATGGTCCTCGCAGGTCTGTTTTATTAGTCAATTTATAAACTCAAGTTTATGTCTTCAACTTGACCATCTCCTTTGACTTCCAGATTCGCCTCTTCCCACAAAACTGACTCTCCACTTGGACATCTAACAGGCATCTTAAATTTAATGCATCCACTTTGGGAGGCTGAGGTGGGCAGATCACGAGATCAGGAGATCAAGACCATCCTGGCTAACACAGTGAAACCCCGTCTCTACTAAAAATACAAAAAATTAGCCAGGCGTGGTGGCAGGCGCCTGTAGTCCCAGCTACTCGGGAGGCTGAGGCAGGAAAATGGCATGAACCCAGGAGGCGTAGCTTGCAGTGAGCTGAGATCATGCCACTGCACTCCAGCCTGGGCGACAGAGCAAGACTCCTTCTCAAAAAGAAAAAAAAAAAAATTAGTGCATCCAAAGCTGAACTCTTGGGCTTCTCCCAAATCCATCTCTTTTTAGTCTCTCTCATCTCCACAAATGGTCCCTCAGTCTACACAATCTCAAGGGAAAAATCAGCTCGAATCTTTCCTTCAATCCCCCATAACCAATCTATCTCCCTTACTCAAAATGTATCCTGAACGTACAGCCTCTCTTCTTTCCAATCCTTAATTCACTCTTACCTGGGCTCCTCCACTAGCCTTCTCATTGGCTTCCATGTTTCCCCACTTGCCTCCCTTTAGTCCCTTCTCCTCCCTGCATTGGGAGAACTTATTAACTTGGTTTAAAAGGGTCTGTCATTCCCTGGCTAAGACCCTCCAATCTCAGAATAAAATGCTCAATCCTGGCCTGCAGAGTCCCTGCCAGCCTCTCCAACCTCATCTCCCCATAAGAATGTGATCTCTTATCACCCAACCCTCTTCTCTCTCTAGTCTCCGCTTAAATGTCACTTCCTCAGACCCATGTTTCCTGACCACCTCTGACATTTTCTGTCATTTCACCTTTTGTTTCCTTTATAACACTTCACATATTCTCTTATTGCTTGTTTCTCCAATTAGACTGTAAGCCTTACTAGGGCATGAACCATGTTTGTCTTATGCATTAGTACATACCTAGGACCTCTCGTGGTGCTAGCACATAGTAGCTGTTCAGCTATATTCATGGTTATTAAAGAGGGTTTATGGCAAAGTATTATGGTTTCCCACTCAATGTAGATGTCCCTTCTATAAAATCATAACAAATAACCATCTAGTCTCCTTCTGAATGCCTCCTCTCCAAGGGTTTCCTCTTAAGACAGCCAATTCCATTTCCTTTGGCTCTATTGTCATTTCTTTTCCATATTGACTCAAATGTCCTCCATGACTTTTGCCTATTGGTCATAGTTCTCCTCCTTAGGAACCCATAGTATAATTTTCTCTAAATTCTCTAAATTAATCCTTCAGATATTTGAAGACAATTCTTATATTTGCCCTAAATCACACCTGCTTCAATGTTATTCCACACACATGATGGCTCCAGAGGTATCCACATCATTCTGGTAATTGATCTCTTGACACACTCCAGTTTGTTATTGTTTCTTAAAATTGTTGTCTAATAATGAGTGCCAGACTCCAAAGGAGATGGAACAAGTTCATAATGGAAGACCATCACCTTCCTTTGTATGATTCTAATACCTCTTTTGATATTACATATATATATATATATATCTCCTACATATATGATATAAATAAATATATATGTTGTGTATATATATGATAATTTGTATATATATAATTATCAACAGCATCCTGAGCTCGTGAAACTAAAACAATTTCCAAGTCATTTTATCTAGACATTTCTTTAAAATATGTAAGGCCAAACTTAATTAACACTAATCTATGAAGAATATCTAATTAACTGCAGTGGGCAACTGACTTCCACTTTTAGGAGAAAGAAAATAAAGTAATCTCAGGAATCTTTTTTGTTAGTCTGTAAAATCATTTCCAGGTAAAATCTAGAGCTTAATCCATATGTTGTGCCATCTTTTGCTTTTCCACACCTCTGATCCTAGGTAAGTTAGAGCTAACGAGTATTTGCTGAGCTTCTATTATGGGCCCAGCATATGTTATAATTTCTTTTACACATAGGAATCTGAGGCTTAGAGAAGTTTACTGATTTACCTAATGGCACACCATAAGTGCTGGGGCTAAGATTTAAACTCAGGTCTCCTGACTTAATTCAGATGGTCAGCTCGATGGTAATCATAATAATATTGTTGTTGTTGTTGTTGTTGTTATTTATCAACAATAGTAGTAGCTAAGTCATTTCATGAAACAGCTCATTGATAGTCCATTTGATAATTCTGAGTTGGAAATTCTATTATCCCATTTGACAGATGGAGACACTGAAGCTCAGATGGCTGACATAGATTAGCCTAGGGCTAGTTGTAGTTAGTTGCAGTGAGAATTTCCCAGTACCAGGGATTCTTATTCAGAGCAAGGCTAACCCCAGAGATGGTCCCTGATGGCAAGTGGAAAATCTGAAGCCACAGGAGGCAGGTAGGAGGCTAATGCATTTGGAAGAAGTTTATAACAAAAGGAACACTCACTTGCCTGGAATACCCACGTATTCTCTGAAGACATTTTAGTCTTTGAGGTTCATCCCATTCTGTTTTAATTTTTTCGAGACAAAAAATGACCAATCTCTTATTTGCGTATTCAAGCATTCTTAATAAGTCACTAAAACTCTTATTTTTCATAACTCTCCTTTTATTAAAAACCTTGGGGAAGAGAACAAAACATTCCACATTGACCTTAGTGAGTTGTTCCTAGGTAGGCATGATGAAAATGCAAAACTGAACCCCAAATCTAGCCAACTGAAAGACATTGATTTTTCTAGAACAGCACCTTCCAAACACCAGTCTGTGGACCAGTCACTGCTTGCCCAAGACAAAGTTCTCACCAGCGTGAGGTAAAATGAGGAAAATAACAGCAATGTGTCTAAATTCATTCAACCTAAAGACTTCCTTTCATTCTTTATTGTTGTCCTTCCTATTTCTTTGATTATTTGAACATCTTTACTTCTATAAAAGGAAGTTGCCAGCAGATGGTAGTTGTTCTCTTTAAACGTTTCTACTTAGTGAAGTTAACATTTAACACACACCTATGTTGGTCCTCCCACACCCACTTTATTTTTTTCTCATCCGTGAAAACTAGATATCTAGAAACTACTGCTAGGCTAAGGGATAGCTTCTGCTATCCAAGACCCCCAGATTTTCCAAGGTTCCTGGCCTTGGAGCCTTTATATTTTATAAAGGAAATATTTTTTAATCACATTCACATCTTTAACTTTTGTTTTGAACATGTGAAATACAACCTTTTCTGGATAACTCTATCATGATCAATAATCAATGGCATTGGATTAGAATACAGTGAATCTGCTGGAGGGCAAATATCATAGGGCAGTTTTCCAGAACCAGAATCGCCCCCGGGCCACCATTCTTTTAGCAATTCGTTTCTGTCTCCTTAAAAAAAAAGAAGAAGAAGACCAGGAAAGGTGGCTTATGCCTGTATCCTAGCACTTTGGGAGGCCGAGGCAGGAGGATTGCTTGAGGCCAGGAGTTAGAGACCATCCTGGGCAACATAGTGAGACCTCATATCTACCAAAAAAAAAAAAAAATTAATAGAAAAGAAAAGAAAAAACCTGCTTTGGCTCCTTCCTTGTTGTGAAGTTGTGAATTAGCATCTTATGAAATGGCATAAGATGAGGCTTTTCTTATTTGCTGACTTTATTCTGCTTGGGCTTAGAAAATGGAGATTCTTGGGTATTACAACTGTGTGCAAAGTAAAAGTTTAAAAAGGACTGAGTAGTGGGGGGTGGGGAAGGTCTAAGTGAGCCCAGGCAAGGATCACACAGTACCCCACCTGCACTCAGCGTGAAGCACAATGGTTATATGCATGGGCTTTAGTCACACAGAGCTGAGTGACAGCCTGGGGCAAGTTAAGTATTTATCTGTAAAATAGAAGTAGTAAAAATGATAACCAAACAGGGATATAAGGATTAAATGAAATAAAGCACGTAAAGTGCTTAATACAATGCCTGGCCCACAATAGGCCCTCAGTGAAATAAATATTAACTACAACGATCACCTTATATCCCTGTGCATTTTCTTTGCTCACTTTCTGGTCCTTTTCTGTTCTGTTCTAGATAGGTGAGTTTACCAAATAGCTGAGACACATAGGTTATAGATACGTAGGTGATATTGCATTTAGATTTTGGCCATTCATTTGTTCATTTGGAAAAAAAAAAAAAACTACACAGCATTGAGCATGCTGTAATAAATGTTGTACTCCCACACTGCATGGACTATCCCATACTACATGTTTTGGAGAAGGATCTAAAATCACAGAGAACATAGCTCCAGGGAACTAATCATCTGTTTGAGGAGACCCAGCCAACATACCAATGAGCTAGAACAGCACTGTAGCATAAGAGATAAAGTCAAGTCCAGAGAATCTTCCAGAAAGGGGAACATTTTGAGGTGAAATTTAATTAAATGCCTTTTTAGACAGTCCCTTGTTGGACCTGATTGTGAGATCATGAGCCCATCAATGTAGGATATAAATTCCTCGTACCTCACCCATTGTGGGAGATGCTCTGTGAGGACCGTCTACTTTCTCTAAACACTTCTTCACACTATTGACCCCAAACAGGATTATTTGCCTGAGTGGAACAGTGAGGACTTTATTTCTAATACAGAAAAGTGGTCTTATAGTTCACAGCAAAAATGAGAATTAGAACCTTGGGAACCCCAACCTTTGTTCTCTCTTTTAGTTGATCCCTATAGCTTCCCTTGCTGTGCCCAGTTCCCTTTTGTCCCTGCACTGATACCACTTCCTCTCCCACTTTGAGTCTTTCTACATACATTCCCTTAAAACAGAGAAGTAGAGGAGACAAGAGAAGGAAAGGTAACAAAACATAGGCAGTGGCTATCTACTTACCCTAGCATTGAGCCTCTCTCAGGAAAAATACCCTTTGTGTGTTATTCAGGCACAAAGACCATTTTGGCTTGCTTTCTTCCCTTCTTCCTTTCTTTCTTTCTGTCTGTCTTTCTCTCTCTCTCTCCTTTCTTTCTTTCTTTTGAGAGGGAGAGAGTGGAGAGAAGAAGAAACAGAGAGAGAAAGACAGAGAGAGAGAGAGGAGTACTGGCCCATAAAGGTACCTAAAAGACTAAAGAGTGCATTTCTGGGATCTGTTAATGGAAATTGCTTTCCCAGCTTGAAAATTGCCACATTTAAAATCCCAATGTGGGGTAAGCAAAATCATAAATATGAACTCCTTTTCAGACAGCAAACCAGCATTTGGAGTCTCTCTCCTTGCCTTCAGGGATCCATATGCCACAGTCTAGTTAGCTGCCCAGCGACTGACAAGCATAAATAAAAGGTAACGGTTATAGTAATCAGAGCTGCTGTGAGTCAAAAGTGTTTCCCAGGGAGGGATCAACATGCTTCTGATAACACTAGAGTCACCAAATAGCCAAGGTTCAGCTCTTTTAAAAACAAACAAATAATGAAAACAATGAAAATAAAAATGTTTGCTCTGTCAACTGTCTACATTCAGCAGTGGAATGGAACAGGCACCTGGGATTCATAATAGTAAAAGGGTCAGGCCATGGGGAGCAGTCTGGGTTTGATGGCTTCTTTGCCTTCCATCAGTGCTCCTTGCCACCTACCATTGGGGACATCCTCCTTCATCGTATTACTGCCTCATGATGGTCTGTGAACCCATCTCACCTAAGTTAAGTAAACACTGGGCCTCAACTTAAGGTGATACCATCATCAGAGTAATCCTTAGGAGAAAGTAGATAAATAGAAGATGAGGCATGTTATGTCCTGAAAGATGGTCAACTCCTTGTCTAAAGAACTAGGTTAGGTGTTGAAGGATGAGGTGGCAAACTCAGCCAACAAAATTGTTCCAGCCTGTGGCTCATGCACCAATGGGCCCAGCACATAAACCCTTATAAGTCACACTTGAACAGGGTCTCAGAGGGCAAGTGAGGAGTTGTCCATAGAGAAATTTAGATGGACTCCCTTGGCCCTTGCAGATGGCCCTGGATATGTTATATGTACATGTTGTCATTGATGTGGCCAGAAACTCCTGCCTTGGGATTTGCCGAATACTAACTTGACTTATTGGAGCAGGTGTCTGTGGTCCTCCAAAGCTGTCAACTGTTAAGCATGGTGATTCCAACTAAAAGTTTCATGATCCTCACTGCCTTTCTCTTTTAAGCCTAAACAGCAGTCATGTAAATGAAGTAAGATTGTTCTGAAAGCCTCAGGAAAATGACTCAACCATGGCCTTCTGATGAATCTGTTTTCCTCTGTCCTGAAATGTCTGAAGTGTTTAATTACACCTTAATCTGACTCTGTCCTCTTCTACTTCTCAGGTTTTCCTGAAATTTGCCTAATTATTTCTTTATGTGACTTGATTAATAGAATGCCAATCATGTTGTTTTTATATCTCTCTTTCTATGTCTACTGTGATGTGAGAAACACTCAGAGGAATGGGTGAGCCAGGTGCCTTCCCCTGCTCCCTACTTTGCCAAGTTGATAACTCCTTTGACCCTTGAACATTAACCATGAGCACCGATGCCCGTCTTTCATTCAGGCTGTATTAAAGTCCACTTTGCAAAGAAAAGAAAAAAAGAAAGAAAAAGAAATCTATAAAAGCAGACAGGAGGGGAAAACTATTGGGGCCATTGCTTTCAAAATACCCAACTTCTGAAAACTTAGGTTACAATGACGCCTCTCCATAATGGGAGTCAATGATGGAGACTATGCCTTGGCTCCATCCCCCAATTCCTGCAGTGATGTTGGGGGCAGGGCATCCTCAGGTCAAAGGGCAACCTGGCAGGCTGGGTAATGGAGCTGATTCACCGATCCCTTGGGTCACGTGACTTGCTGAGTGTTCTCCACCTGTTACTCATCGAGTGTTATTTATTCGTTTTTAAAGAAATCCAGTAAACCTGGCAGTGTTAAAACTGAACGAGCAGGGGCTTTTGGACAAATTGAAAAACAAATGGTGGTACGACAAGGGCGAGTGCGGCAGCGGGGGAGGTGATTCCAAGGTCAGCCCCAGTAAGAAAAAAAAAAACCTAGTGGGTATGAAATAGCATGGCTGGTAACCAGCAACTGTTCTCCCAATACCTATCCTGCTTCCTAATACTAAAAAGAAAAGATAAATTAATGTCAAAGGGAAGCCCTTTGGTTGAGTAGAAGTAGCATCAAACTATCCTCTACTTCTCTTCCAAGGGGCCTTCTGGTTTACCACAGTTTCCAGTCCCCAGGACCCCAGCATCTGCTCTGGTCCCATAACCAAGATATGAGGACATTGTGCCTGGACCTTCTTTTCCAGAAATGTTCCACCTCCTCCAACTGAGGGCAGGGTCTGTGTGCTACAGGGTGCCCTTTTTTTCAAAGGGCCTGCTCTGGATCCTAGGCATGGAAGCAGATTCTGAGATACACACCAAGGCTGGGTGAGCAGCCAGAGAGCCTGTGGACAGGGAGGGTCCCCAGGCACCCATGGCAGCTGGACTTGGGCCAGTATCTTCAGCAGTAGATGGTAGACGTTGCTGGTTACTCAAAGTGATATAGTGATACTCATCTTGCTATACTAGAGAAAGAACTGTGTGAGTGTGTTGGGCGGGCAGTGACATGGTGGGGCGGGGCCAGATGGAGTATTTTAGAGTATCACTTTGTCAGTGCATATGATCTTGTTCAATGAATGATGTGAATGAATACTGTCTGTGCTGAATAACATAAAATAACATTGGTAATGTTATTTATGTTATTTCCCCCCTGGTTGAAGAGGTCCCGTAAACCTAGCGGTTTTGAAACTCAGTGAGCAAGGCGTCTTAGACAAGCTGAAAAGCAAATGGTGGTACGATAAAGGGGAATGTGGAAGCAAGGACTCCGGAAGTAAGGTCAGTCACCGGCTACAGAGGTCACGCACACCTGTAACAAAAATGCACAGTGTTGAACAGTGTCCTCCGAGCCTCAGAGAGGCTTGGAGGCCTTAGAGAGCTGGGCCCCAGCAGGGCCTTGATGTCCAAGAGTCCAGGCAGGGTTAAAAAGTTTGAATATCAGCACGCCAGTGTTTCCCAACCCCATGGAACCTGATCCTACCCCTTCAAAAGGCTCCATTATCCACTGTGTTCTGAAAAAAATGGAAGCAAACCAGTGAGGAGTTATATGCAAGGCTGTCACCTCATGGCAAGTACTCTTTGCTGTGGGACAGGGCCGTTTAGCACACAACCCAGGATGGTCCTTTTGGCTACCCCTAATTATTTACCCAAAATGATGGTCTGGGTCTTGCTCAGGGATACTGAACTCTTTTTTTTTTTAACTTTTTTTTTTTTTTTTGGACAAGTCAGACATCAAGCAGCTGGCATGATCCCTCACCTTTATTTTAAGGATACCCTTTGGCTTACACATTCAAGGGCCATTGAATTGGCCTCCAAGCAGGGTTCTCCATCCAGGTACAGGTGTGAATTCATGATGAGTTGAAGGAAGAGAGTCTCATGACCTGAACTTGTTACCTCTATCACAAATTCCAGGCTTTAGAGTTGAAAGAGAGCCTGCAGAGGATTTAATCCCACCCTGGCAAAACTTCAAGCATTCACATACCACCTGTGTCGTTATTTGCTTCACGTGTTCCTTTAAAGCTACTATCTTCATTACTACTTTAATCGAGTTCATATAAAAAGTAGCAGCACTACTATCACAAGTAGAAAGTCAGTACTTCTTGCAAAAAAAAGAAGGCAACCATATAAATAACTATAATGACAACAAAAAAATATTAAATTACAGTCACCTTTACAACTGAGGGCTGCTGCTTCTTAAAAAGCGAGAGGAGCAAGTGATCAGTGTTAAAGATGATCAGCACCAAACTGAGATTTTCTTGTTGGCTTTACTCAGAAAGATTAAAAGAGAATTGAAAAGAGAATGACATCCTCACTTTGTAGTCAATGTCATTTACTTCAGTGTATCATCTAACACTGTCTCCCATACCATCCAGAGGTGGGCAACACTCACTGTGTGACTCGCCCAAGATTGCCCAGTGACTCAATGATAAAGCTGGGCATGAATTCATGAACTGAGCTTAGATATCCTGCCCCCACCCCCACCCCCCGGCTTGTTTTATAATATAATGCCACACTGTTTCACCATCAGCAGGGTAAGTCCATCCATTCTGGATGTACTCACTTTCTTTCCCCTACTGTCAGCAAGGCCTGGAAGGCAAAAGGACTGAAAACACACTGTGTACAAGCCCCATCCCTGCCCTCCTCACAGGTAAAGAGCATTGGCCATCTGGAAGGACCTGGGAATTCACACAATGATGCTCTGCTCCGCTTGCTCCTTCCCCTTCCCACTGAATGTTCCTGCACTAAAGAGACCCCAGGAGGGCAATGTCAGAGGGACGTGAGTGGAGAAAGAAAGCCCTTGAGACCAAGAGATGCAGAAGTCATTCCATTACCCCCACGCCCTAGAGACTTTGGGCTCCAGCTATGTTCCTGCTCAGGGTCAGGTTTCCTGATTTCTGTAAGGCACAGTAGGCAACAGCCTGGAGAGAACCAGTGACTTCTAGGTGAATCTTCTGGGAGTTATGTGTGGTCCAAGATAACATGTCCGACATACAACAGTTATCCATATCAGAGACTGAATGTCAAAACACCCTGGATCCTGTCCAAAGTCCCAAAGCCACACATCCTTAAATTTTCTAACACTGCCCTAGAGGAAGGGACTAGACAAAAACAAAAGTGTTTCTTTTAAAACTCTCTTCTGGACCTTGAGCCAGAAACACCTCTGGGGACAATTTCCCAACACACAAGGCCCCTGCTCACCAATGCATAGTCCAAGCACATATTCAACTCAGAGTGAAGGCTTTCTGTGGGGACACCCATGTTACACTCAGACTGATGCTTCTGTTCTGAAAAATACCTCCCCCTTTTGAAGAGGCCTCAGCCTTAGCCAGTCCTTGGGTTCCCCTCTGCAAGCCACATCATCTCCTCAATGCAATTTTGTTTTGAGTCAGGATGTTCTGCGGTGCATTGTACAGCAGCCGGTCCCTGAGCACACACTGCTGAGAAAAGCCACCCCCACAGCCATCACTTTCACAGTATTTGCCTTGCTGATTATTAGAACAATGGGCCAGTTCTCATCCCATGTCGCTCTTGGGGAAAATATGAAGGCTAGGGAACTGGCCTAGATTGGAAATGGAAGAGCAGACGTTACCAATTAACACGAGCTCCTTTTTTGCATTCCCTAAAGGTATTAGTCTCTAGGGAGAATTTTTAAAAGGCATGATCCCAGACCCTCTAGAAACTCCTTAGGTGCCTCAAATGTTTTGGGGGTGGGGACAAGTGTCAAAGGTCATTTGGTCCAGTTCTGTGTTCAGTGCTTGAATTCCTTACATGACCTTGTCATCTTCTTCCTGAATGTGTTCATGTTTGAGGAACTCACCACTTCCTATGGCAGTGCATTCCACCTTTTGACAGCTGTTTATTTAAAAGCTCTCCTTTGGTTGAACCAAATCCACCTCCCCATAATTTTCTCACTTTGGTCTTAGCTAATGAGTGAGCCTAGCCAACCACTCAGCCTTCACTCCCAGGAAGTAGTCAACTGCTCAGGGAAACGGTCCTTAAGCCAAAAATACAAGTTTTGAGAAAGCACAAAAGAAAGCCTACTGTAGCAGAAAAGCTAATGGGTGGACCTTTCTTTGTGGCCCTAAAAGGCTAAGTCAGATTACAGATTCAGCATGTGGAGGGCACGTAGGCTTCCCCTAAAAATCCAGGTGTAAACATAACAGAAAATTGTATGGAACTTAGATAGGATATAGAGAGAAGCAAAACTGCTTTTGCTTTGTACGAGTTTATACTTTCTCCAAGAAGATAAGAAGGAATGAAAGCATTTGGAGAAACTGAAGCTTGGCCTGAAGTTAGCAGGTCTTGATGGCAGGCAACACCAGTCTCAGTGGAAGTCACTGGTCTGACGGCCAAAAGCCTTGGCTTCTCCCTAGAGCTTTCTGCTTATTCCATAAAGAAAGTTTCAAGTCTCTCTACCCTAGGACTAGCTCAGACCTCCTCATGAATCAGCCCTACATTCTTGGAAGGGATGTTGGCTCAGAAGCACAGAGGGAACCTGAGACAGTCCCCCAGTATGTGGAAAGAACAAGGAGAAATATAGGGGGGGAAATCTCCTTTCCATATGAGGGAGACAGCAAATCAAGACAACAGGTTAAGGAGAACAGATGAGTGGGGGGGTTTCATCACCACTCGTCACCATTCGTCACCATAGCAACAAGCCCAGCGATTCTGCAAGACAGGAGTTATATTTTTCTTTTCACCTGTCACTCTTCTTGGTACTGTCACTCTCTTTCCCCACTCCTGGCGGGAGGTGAATTGTGACTTTTCCACCCCCCCCTGACAAGCTGCCTAGCTTTTCTGGTGTGCAGCTGCTATGGAATAGGAGAATGGGGTACCCTGAGGGGTGCTCAGAAGACTCAAACTCCATCTCTCCCCTGTCCCCGATCACAGCTGGGAAGTGTGTAGCTGTGAAATGTGAGTAGCTGTTTATACACAGATCCACGAGGAAGCTGCCTCTTTTATGGACACTGCAGACCAGAGGAACCAGAGCTGTGGTCCTCAAATAAAAGGAATTTTTGTCCCTGCCCCAGGATTTCCCATTTTATTCCCACAGAGTGAGACAAAGAGAGTCAGTAAAGGCAACTAAACAGAAGACCATGGCCTGAGGCCTCCTTAGAAAGACCGTATCAAAAAGCTAATGACACGCTTAAAGGGAATCAGAACATTTTGTGTAAATTGAAACTCCTCAGCTATCTGGACTAAGACTACACCAACACCAGTCCTTCATCCCACATCCTATTAAATAAATCTGAATTTAGGTGGTTGTGTTACCTGTGATATTGGTGGCAATTGGGCCCAGGTTCTCCCTTGATTCCAGAGGTCTTTCCTGATTCCTCTACTACAGAGCTGTGTCAGCATAAACAGTGATCAATGACATTGTGCATCCTTCAAAAGGTGGCAGTTCCTATACCGTCTAGCTGTCCTCTTTGTAAAGGATGTATCCCCCCTCACACACATTGCCATCTCCCTGGGCCGGAGACCTTCTTCTAAAGTGAAGGATGCTCTTCACCTCCAGACATAATCAGTCATTAGGCCCTCCTTCTTTGCCTATATAGAACATGCCTTTCCACCCCCCGTCCATATGAAAATCTCACCCTACTTCCTTCCTAGATATACTGGAAGTGAATGCTCCTCCTTGTAAACCAGGGAGGCAGATACCCTCTTAGGGCCTTTTGAAGATAATAACAGAAAAAGATGCCCATCACTCCCTTGTCCTTGGAGGCTATCCACAACCAAGGTAAACCTCAAGAAGAAAACAGCTTGGTGACCAAAGGGGCAAGGTGTGCTTTGGCTATTGAAAGACTGATCAGCTCATGAAGTCAGCAGCCTCCAGCTTTCTTTTTTACCACCTGCCCTCAGGCCTGTCCCTCTACCTACTCCTTCTGAGCTCCACTGTCAACCACTCTTTACTAAGGTTTGAGCTGATAATACATGCCTCCTAACCCCACCCCTACCCCTGTTTAAACAGAAGAGTTTCATAGGAACTTCTGTGAACTCTAAGTCCCCCAAGGACTCTAAAGCATTACTCTCCAGAGGAAGAAATACATGCCTTCTGAACAACAAACAGGGAGACATTTTGAGTGTTCTAAAAATCATGTGAAGTGGGAATTTACCTGTTCAGCCAACTCTTGAACCAAGCACTGAACTCATTTTTTGCACATTACCCTTATCAGGCCATTATAGAAGAGCAGGAGAAATTTTGCCCCTTTGAGTCCTTTGAATAATCATTTCTACTGCTTCCAAAGCCAGGCTATGCCTTGCCAAGTGTAACCTATATTCAAGAGCCATCTGCTTTAGCAATACAGGAAGCCACCAAGGGGGCATGCTTTAGATAATCCTACAGCTCTGCTGGCCAAAGCTGCTACTGGAAGGGAAGGGATGCTGCTATTTACCAGCTACAGTCCCCAAGCTCAGTCCTGCTGAATCCTGTACAATGCACCAACTAGAACTAGGGCAGAGGCCACTGACTTATTGGTCAATAAGCGATTCCTTTCCATATGCCCCGATTCTAATAGGCAGACGTCAGTCGAAGAGTCTCTAGGGCAATACGGTCCACCCCTTGCATGGCTCACCTACTTCCCCACCTGAAAAGGAACACATGGAGAGGTATAAAGGCCACATCCTATCCTATGCCACCAACTAGCCAACGATGGTGTGTACCTGTGCCAATTGAGGCATTTCATTTTAATTCAATGAGACATTTATTGTACATGAACAAACAATATAAACAAAGGTGTTAGAGCTGCCATGACATCTAGGAATGAGTATTCTCCTAGTAGTTAAAGATGTTCTTTTGCCTGTGTCAAGAGTTTGACTGAGCAACTTGCTGCGCTTCCTGAGCCATTACCTCTCACCATGACCATCAGTTGTGTTTGATTGTTCTCACCACTTGGGAAGGTGTTGTCCCTCAGACCTTCACTTTTGAACTCCACTGGAGGTGACAGAACTCAGGGATGATCTCAGGAGACCAGTGGCCTTCCTCTGGCTCCACAGGGTGAGCCCTGGCCACCTCCCACCATGACCATCAGTTGTGTTTGATTGTTCTCACCACTTGGGAAGGTGTTGTCCCTCAGACCTTCACTTTTGAACTCCACTGGAGGTGACAGAACTCAGGGATGATCTCAGGAGACCAGTGGCCTTCCTCTGGCTCCACAGGGTGAGCCCTGGCCACCTCCCACTAGACATGAGTACTTGTCTTCAGACTCCTAGGAATGAAGCACCCTTTTCTGTGACCCTGCTCATCCCAAACCAGTGTAAGATCTTTTATCTCAGGCAACAGATATTTCTAAATTCAGCCACCTGGGTCTGCCTCCAGTGTTTTTAGCAAGCACCTCCAACAGAAAAATGATATCAATTAAGCATAATTATTAAGATTTAATAGAGCCATTTTTCTATCTCAGAGCCTTTTTACTATTCTAAGCCCCCTAGTTTTTCTTCCCCCTAAATTGGCACTCAGAGCAGTAAGTTAACATATATATCAGTTGGTCTTTATTATATATACAATAACTGTCTTATTAAATTGAAATCGAATGCACATCTAGGGGAAAGTTCATTGTAAGTACCAACTCTCAGAAAAATGCTCGGGGACATAAACAATGAGTGAGGCCAATGGGTTACCAAGCAACAGAGGAAATTGGGGCGGGGGGGGGCGGGGGGCAGGAATGGAGCTGAAAAGGAAGGGACATGGTTTTTTGAAAGAATGGGCTAAGCTCAAAGGTGCAAATTTTGGTAGAAGCTGCCCTAAATTTCTTGTGATATCTCTCACCCTAGAAAAGGCATTGAGGAGTGGGGAATTGTAATTACAAGTTCAACATAGTCAGGGAGGCTTGGAAAATGTATAAATACATATACACACACACTTTTTTCCTGGGGAATGTTTAACACTTGGTCAATGAATAAATAGCCTATCCAGCTATTGCAAATGTTAAAGAGGGTGTGGGGTTGTGTGTATGTGTGAAAATATGCTGCTGCTTGGATGGTCTTTAGCCTCTTGACTCACTTTATTCTTCCCCCTCCCCTTCCTTTCCCTCCTCCTCTTCTTAGGACAAGACAAGCGCTCTGAGCCTCAGCAATGTGGCAGGCGTGTTCTACATCCTGATCGGAGGACTTGGACTAGCCATGCTGGTTGCCTTAATCGAGTTCTGCTACAAATCCCGTAGTGAATCCAAGCGGATGAAGGTGGCATCGTCTTCCCGGGCCTTTTTCCTAACCTGTTCTGTGATGCAGCTGGGTTTCCTGGGAGTCCCTTTGCTAGAAAGGGTGGGGAATGACAGGTGGTTGAGGTCAGCACAAGACAGGAAGCAGGAAGCTGTTACGAGGAAGGTGACGGGGACAAAGGCAGCCATGAGAAAGGAAGGAAGATGGGGTGTGTCAGGCCAGACACAAGGCCCAAGAAAAAAATTGCATTTGCCAGAGTGGGGTCAGTGAGATTGAAGGCTAGTGGTTTACATGGATAGGTAGCGCAGCGAGAGGCAAGAGTGATGGCTACCAAGGCTCATTCTCTCTGAAGTTTCATCAGAAGTGTGGCTGCAAAAGAGAGGAAAGGATGTCTACCCTCTACTCTGTGCTGACCTTGTCATACCTGGTGAATTGGGTCTTTTCTTAGGCTCCACTCTAAGAAATAGACATTGACAAAGAGGACCATGTGCAGAGAAAGGTAAGCAGATTAGTGAGATGACCCCAAACCACATCAAATGTAGCTAACGGGAACTGGAGAAGAGAACTGTGGAGGATTTAAGAGCTGTCTGTAAAATACCAATATTTTCCAAGTGGAAAAAGAAAACAGGCTAGTTCTATGGAGTCCCAAAGTATACAACAAGAACAGATGACTAAAGGTGATAGAGGATAAATGTTAACACGATACACTAAATTTACTTTTCTAAAAGAGCTATCTAAAGAAAGGCTAGAATATCCCAAAAAGTAGCAAGCTTCAACATCACTGAAGGTATACAAGTAGAGGATGAATAACTCTTGACAAGAATATGGATTCAAGCATCAAAAGGCAGTTTGGATTAAATGATCTTCAAGGCCCCTCAACATTTAGCTTCAGTAAGAAATTATTTGTGGAAGTTAATCATGTGAACAATACCATGATCAAGGCATCATGAGGACTCAGAGAGGAGGGAGGTGCATTCTATGATCTCCAGCACCTTTCACCTTCCACAAAGAATGGGCACAAAATAATTACTCAGTGAGGCAATCTATGGCATAGATAGGAAGGCCTACAGGAATTTAGAGAAGAAAGATTGAAGAAGGCTTCCAGGAAGATGCCAAAATTCAGAAGGACAGGTGGGATCTAGATAGAGAAGGGGAAAGAAGTACAGTCCCTCTGGGCAATGCAGCCATGGTGATATGCTGACCTATACTGTTACCTTGATTTGACAAGACTAACAAGATCCCTTGGTAGAATTTGCTTTATTAGATTGTACCCTAAGAAGCCTACTTTTCAACAGACATTTGCCTCCAAGCTCAGTATGCCCACTCTTGGATCCATACATAGCCTCCTGCCCAGCCTCTCCCTGCCTTGGACCCTCAATCCTACACACACCTCCGGGGTCGCCCTTGGAGAAGATATCTCTGAACATTTGCTCATTCTGTTTAGAAATTCTGTATTTAGTTCTGTACATGAGGAGCTGGGGGCCTTCTGTCCTGGCATTCAGCATTTCCCTGTCAGCCTACCTACCCCACTCCCACCCTAGCAATCTGCTCTCCTCACGTACTCCATACTTTCGCCCCCACCTCATGTTCCCACTCATGTGCCTTTTTATGGGCCGATCCCTCACCCTGTCTTCTGTTTCATAGAGCCCATTTAAAAGGCAACTTCTCCAAGACACAACAAGGAACAATTAAGGAATGGAAGTTCAATGACATTTCACCAGGGACCTAGGAACACCCCAATCCTACTCTTGACCAGCTCATCCATCTCCAGGTCCCTCTCATGTCCTCTCAAATGACAAGAACTACAAAGGCATGGGCTTCAGACTCTAAACCCAATGTAGACCTCCAAGGAGCTTGGCTACACACACAAGGACTCCTAGAACCTACTCAAAGCTCTTTGACCATTCCATTCAAAACACAGGACTAAAGACTCTCCTACCTTACCCTCCAAAATGAGGAAAGGTTACTCCGGTGGCAAAAAAGGGGAACAGGACAAGAACTAGGGGAGCTACAACCTGTACCATCCCTCAAAACCTTCTCTATAGACCATGACTCAAGCCAGAGGCCCAGAGTTGGCCCAGTACAGATTATAAGGAGTTCCTTTCTTCTCATTGCTTGTCTAAGACACAGTACAGCATCATCATCTAGAGTAGAAGCTCTGGAGAATGAACGTCTGGGCATAAATTCTATCTTCTCCATTTGTTAACTATGTCATCTTAGGTTTTAGTAACTCTCTGATCCTTATTAATTAATTAATTAATTAATTTATTTATTTATTTATTTATTTATTTATTTATTTTGAGACAGAGTCTTGCTCTGTTGGCCAGGCTGGAGTGCAGTGGCATGATCTCAGCTCACTGCAACCTCCATCTCCTGGGCTCAAGCAATTCTCTTGCCTCACCCTCCCGAGTAGCTGGGATTAGAGGCGTGTGCCACCACACCTGGCTAATTTTTGTATTTTTAGCACAGATGGGGTTTCACCATGTTGACCGGGCTGGTCTCAAACTCCTGACCTCAGATAATCCACCCACCTCGGCCTTCCAAAGTGCTGGGATTACAGGCGTGAGCCACCACACCAGGCCTCTGATCCTCATTTTCTATAAAATGGAGGCAGTGGTAGTACATACCTCATAACATTGTTGTAAGGATTGTATGAAATAATGGATTATAAAGAGCTTGGCAAAATTCCTGGGCCCCAGTAAGCCCTCAGTAAATAATAATGACAATGATAACTAGTATTTCAAATAATAGTTGTTACTAGTGGCCAGATACATCCTCCTTAAAACTTTCCTTTTATTATCCCTATTTACATGAGCTAGGGTTCTTAAGCTATATAGATTGTGAGTTCCTTAAGGTAAGGGGTTGTGTGGACATCCCACACACTGAGAGTAAGTATTAGTAAAATTAATGTGAAATTGTATCCAAAGGAGAAAATCTCTTACAGGATGAGGCAGGGCATGGGAGGGAGCTGCTCTTAGTTAAAGCAAGTATTGCCGTCAAAACCACCCAGTCTAGGAATTACAAACAATATCATCCAAGGGGCAGTTTTGGCCCCATGTTTGTGCTCATGAACTATGACGAGACCAGTCATCCACCAAGCAGGAAAGCTCCTGGACATCCAGCCCTTTCTCTGGGATTACAGTGACTCCCAATAATCATAACCAGTGCCAGGTGGTGGTGCCAGAGTGGCTAATGCCTGGGATCCTCTTAAAACTGGGACCATGTTGACCTTCACTGAAGTCACACTATTTAGATTAAAATGAGAATCTTTCAAAGAGGCCACTGAGTCATGGCATAGCTTCTTGGGGACATTCTCACCCTTCCCTTTACAATGAAGATGTTAAATTTTTCAGAAGCCAACATCAGGGTCTCTTGGAATCATTAATATAATGTCTTCCACCACAATCTTCTAGAATTAATTCCGTTGATTGGTGTGACTTCTACCCAACTCACTGAGGCTCCTAATAGAATTTCCCATCTTCCAACTGCAGAAAAGGTACTTTCTTTATTAATCAACCCAGCCTTAATTGTTGATGCTCCATCAACTCCTCTCTTATCCGAAAGAGATAAGACAAATGCATTCAACTTGCCTCTCAGACTTTTCAGCTTTGCAGCTCTCTTTATTTTTCTGTGCTTAGCTTTCTCCAAAAGCAATTAGTTCTTTTCAGAAGTGCAGCCCCCAACCTTACAGAGACCCAAATTGGTGATGACATGGGCATTTGATGAGAGCTTTCCCTCTCATTTCTTTCCATTATCACAGTATTTGGTCCACTCTTTTTTTTCTTTATTTTTTCATTTTATTTTATTTTATTTTGAGACGGAGTCTCACCCTGTTGTCCAGGCTGGAGTTCAGTGGTGCAATCTCGGCTCACTGCAACCTCTGCCTCCCAGGTTCAAGTGATTCTCCTACCTCAGCCTCCCGAGTAGCTGGGACTACAGTCACGTGCCACTACACCTGGCTAATTTTTTGTATTTTTAGTAGAGATGGGGTTTCACCATGTTAGCCAGGATGGTCTCGATCTCCTGACTTCGTGATCCACTGCCTTGACTTCCCAAAGTGTTGGGACCACAGGCATGAGCCACCACGCCCCGCCCTTGGCCCACTCTTAAGGCCTTAACCCCCTAAACTCGTTCAGGGTCATCTTCTCATGTGGCTCAACAGTGCTTAAAAACATCTTCCTCACTCTTCATGGATGAAAGAACGAGAGGAAGAGGGGCAGAAAAGAGAAAGAAGGGTGGAGGAGAGAGAGAGATGAAAGGAAGCGAAGAAGGAAAGATGATTTTTCAGTAACTTTTATGTTCAAAGTGATTTCTACACATTTTCATTAACCATGCAATAAGTTGTTCTTACAATCCTACAGATGAAATAAAGGTTCAAAGAAGCTAAGTAGCTTTTCCTGACTAGGTCACACAAGCTAGAAACTAAAAAACCAGGAATTAGAACTCCAACATGGTCTCCACAAAGCCTGGGCTTTTGGTACTAGCCAAGCCACTTTTCCTAAATCTCTCTGTCCTCCTTCAACCACATGGCAACGGATCATTTTTGAGCACCTATTCTCTGTTCTTCCAGTCCCAGCCACAGTGCTGCTCACAAAGACAAATAAAATGTAGCTCTACCCTTCAGTTCCCCTCATCTGACTGACTATAGTATTTAAACCCTTGCTGGGTGTTGATGGGTCTCTTTCCCCTTTGACATGTCGATGAGCAGGACAAGTGTCACAGAGATAGTGGGAAGGCACCCTACAGGCATCCCTTCCACAAAGACATACTGAGCACCACTGCGTGCTGGGCAAGGCTTGGCACTGGGGATACAGTCAAGAACAAAACAGACACTGCTTCTTTTCTCAAGAAGCTCAGAGTTTGATGGGGAAGACAGAACATAAGCAAACACTTGCATGTTCAATGAGTGTTAGTGAAAAAAATGCCCAGTGCTGTCAAGTATAGAGCAGAGGCCTGTCCTGATAAAAGAATGGGTCAGTCAGAGCAGCTTCCCTGAGAAACTGATATTTAACAGATTCAAAGCATGAAAAGAATTAAGCAGGAAAATGAATTGCCAGCCATACACAAGTGTCAGAGACCCAAAGATGTGAACTCTTGCCCAGAAAGGGGAAGAAGGCCAAGGAGACTGGGACACAGACTGAGGGAAAAGGGTGATATGTGAGAGTGGGAGACTCAGAGAGGGACTTCAGGCAGCTCATAACATTTCGGTCTAATTCAAATTGTCATACAACAGCAGAAAATACATAACCTAAGACACATTGCAAATTGAATAAAATCTCAGGTCCCCTGCCCCTCCCCTCTGCCTGGGCAAACAGACTGGCTCCTGAATCCTTAGCTGATATTAAGAGCAGCAAAGTATTATTCACCACCTCATTCCCAAAGGAAAATAATCCCCAGCCTCTCTCACCCCCACTAGAGATGCTGACCTTTCAAAATTATATACGGCTGTGCTAACATAGGGCATGTTTAAGCTACAGCAATTGAGGGCTTGCACATTTTCCTGGAATTAATGAACAGCTGAGAGACTTGATAACTCAAGGGGAGCATCCTCCACAGCAGGTGGTCACTGGTGCTTTGCACGCCTGCCTGAGCAAAGACATTACTGAAGTTTAAGCTTTGATTAGGATATTCTATGTGCAGAGGCTGAGCACTCTCTTCTTAGAAAAGCAAGTGGCTGAGAAGTTAGGATGCAATCACTGTTAGGGAAATAAGGTCCCAAAGGGCCAATTTTAGGGTCTGTAAGTTGGATTTTTTACTCATCCCTTTGTCTCTGAATATCAGTTCCAAAAACACCACCACCACCCTCAAGGATGAACTTTAAGAATGGCTGGCATGTCAAGGAGGGATAAGGGAAAGCCACATTCCCAAAGGCTAGGGGAGAAGTGACAGCAGTTTATGACAGTTTAGCCACGACGGGGGGCGGGGAGTGGGGGGGAGTAGGAAGAATCACATTTAGAAGGTCATTCATCTTGTCACTAGGTCACATATAACTGTTACCTTAAACAAGTCAGTCATTGTCATCAGGTTGTCTGTAAAGTAAAAGAACAAATTAGATCATGTGGTTCAACTTTGCTTGCATTTTTGAATCACCTGGGGAGCTTTTAAAACTCCAGATGTCAAGGCCATACACCACACCAGCATCTCTAGGATAGGATTCAGGCATCAGGGTTTTTTCCCCAAAACTCCCTGGATGGTTCCAATGTGCAACCAAGTTTCAGAACTAGTGATGTAGTTGACATTAAGCATTGCTTTCCACTGCAAAGTTTGGGCTCCATTTATCATTTCTCCTGACTTTCATAAATGTATTCAAAAAGAAGCCAGTGAGAAGGTAGTAACCATCCATGATAAGGGTATGGAGTCATTGACTTTGAGAAGTGCTCAGCTTCCTTGAATACCAACTCTAATGATGTGACCTTCGAGATTTTTAGTTACATGCCTGGCTAAATTATCTCAGACTTTGGCAAGCACCAATGTTGACTAGGTTATCAATCTTGTCCTTTAAGACAAATTCAGGAAGTACCAACAACTTCAATGGAATATTATGAAAATATGTGAGCCTTATGAGGAACAAAGTCCAGGGTGATCTGTGTAAACTTTAGTGGTCTTTTTTCCTTAATTAAAGGGATGTGGCAGAGAAAAATCATGAATGATAGACATTCCAAGCTAATCTATAGAAGTTTCCATATTTCCCACAGATATAAATAAAATGTTATTTTCTCTTCAACATTTTTAGGTGAGGATAAGTAACCATTAATTTATCATATTTTCATTTTACATTTCCCTGGTGTAGCTTCAAGGTAGTATTTATTTGGCCTTTGACTTAGAAGAATGCAATCCAGGTCACACTTTTTCTTCAATGGAAGACAGCCAAGGGAGAATGTAAATAAATCAAGTCATGGGTTTGAGGAGGAGACAGAACCAGTGTGGGTGGTGCATCATATGGGGCAAATCTGTCTGAATCATGGATTTTAAAAAGAACATTTTAAAACATTGTCAGAACTGCCAGTAATACAAGGATAGCAGGGGAAAAAAATGGGTCAAAACTGCCCTGTTTATCTCTGTCTGGCCACAGAAGGTTGACTGATTTCTCTGGTCACTAGAATAATGGCAATATGTCAGAGAGGAAGTCATAGACTTTTTGAGATGGATCCTAGGTGGTTGGTGTTTCTTAGACAAATTCAAAAGCATCATTATGCATCTAATTTCTTACTGGACACTCTGTGGGATAGCTGAGGATTGAGAAGACATGGCCCTTGCCCTCCTCCAGAAAGCTGTCTTACAGAAGACAAAACTTATACACTGGAGGCAGAACCATTACAAGAGAATGTATACTGCACGAGTACAAGATGAGAGGAGCCAGCACTTACAGCAGGCTGGTGTAGTCTAGGAAGGCTTCAAGACGACAGTGAGAACAGAACGCACCTTGAAGAAGAGGTAGGGTTGGTCCCATTGACAATTCTTTATATTGATTCCCACCAAGAAACCAAACCCCACCTCAAAAATTCTGTGATTGTTTCTTAATGGAAAGTTTGAGATGGACAGTAAAATATAAGAGTCTGGATTTCCTATCATCAATGGTCTTTCTCCAAAGGAACGCTCAACAGAACGCTTCCTCTTGTCTAAGACGATATGGTTCTAGACCTTTTCTGTGGTCTTGAATATCCCACTTAACTCATCTGATTCTGGGGTGATCCTTGGAGTCCTTTTCAGACCTAGAATTCCAACATTCTAGAAGTCACAAGCTTAGTGGCACTGATCTGATATGTCAGTCTGGAAGTACAGGGTCTACATGCTGATGGGAAGCAGTTGACACACAGATGATAATCTTTGGAATGCATTCTCATTTTCTTTAGCACATGTTCCTTTCCAATTAGATTTTGCATATTGTATTATTCAAACGAGTCCTACATTCCCTTAACACATGCCGCTATAGAGGTAGGCTAGAATTTTTTCTGAAGTAAATCAGAGGTAGTTTTCCATTTTAACCAAACAATATCACATCCTCAATTTATTTGAACATTTCAAAGCATTTTTCATGCGGTAGCACCATTCTTGCTATAATAACAGTGTGTAGGTGCATAGATAATCATGTCATAGACATGGAGGTTTAAAAGTTCTAGAACACTAAGGAGATATGTACAGTCACATGACTAATTAATGTCATAACCAGAACTAGAATCCAAGTTTCCAAACCCCTTTCCCGGAAGGTTTTCCACTTAGTTGTGTTGCTACATCACACATTAATCAATAATACCAAGGAAATATTCCACCTTTAGAAATCACAGAATGTAAGAATAAGAAAGGATCTTCTGTCTCACCCAATCTAACACACTTCATTGAACATTCAACTTGAGGCTAAGAGAGGGGATCAGACATGTCCAGAGCCAAGTGATAGTTTTCTGTGTTCCTGAGAAGTCAGAATTAGCGTTGTAGAATAGGAAAGGGGGTGGATGGGAAAGCAGAGTTGGATTTACATTTGAAGTCCAGTCTTGACTCATTCCCATTGCCTGTCATTGCCAAGGACCCGGGGAAGAACCCCCGGTCCTCCTGAAAAGGGTTTTTGTTTGATCCCACAGCAATCCATCAACGAAGCCATACGGACATCGACCCTCCCCCGCAACAGCGGGGCAGGAGCCAGCAGCGGCGGCAGTGGAGAGAATGGTCGGGTGGTCAGCCATGACTTCCCCAAGTCCATGCAATCGATTCCTTGCATGAGCCACAGTTCAGGGATGCCCTTGGGAGCCACGGGATTGTAACTGGAGCAGATGGAGACCCCTTGGGGAGCAGGCTCGGGCTCCCCAGCCCCATCCCAAACCCTTCAGTGCCAAAAACAACAACAAAATGAAACGCAACCACCACCAACCACTGCGACCACAAGAAGGATGATTCAACAGGTTTTCCTGAAGAATTGAAAAACCATTTTGCTGTCCCTTTTCCTTTTTTGATGTTCTTTCACCCTTTTCTGTTTGCTAAGTGAGGATGAAAAAATAACACTGTACTGCAATAAGGGGAGAGTAACCCTGTCTAATGAAACCTGTGTCTCTGAGAGTAGAGTCACTGGAACACTAATGAGGAAACTGCACTGTTTTATTTTAATTCAGTTGTTAGTGTGTCTTAGTGTGTGCAATTTTTTTTCTTACTAATATCCATGGTTTGCAGGTTCTGTTAGGCCCTTTCCTTCTCCTTACTTCTTATCCCCAACTCCCTACCCACCCCTCTTCAGTTTTCAGATTGGAGATTCAAGATTTGTTCCACTTTACAAGCAAGAGGAAAAAAAAGCAACCTTCAAACTAATTCTCCATGGGGGCTCTCCATGTTACCCTCCACTCCTTGGCCCAAACCTCTGATGGAGATAGACATTGTTGGAGAAGTGGGCTGCCTTCCCCAAGTGGGGCACTGCTTAAGCACTTATTCAGTGGAGAACACAGGTGAAAAGCAACTCAGGATGAGGGTGGTGGAGAGGGCAGGGGCAGATGTGCAGTCAGAGAAGGACTCCTGAAGTTACTGCTGCTCAGAAAAACAGTTCCTTTAATGTGGAAGAGCCATTTCATAGGTCATAGGTGGTATGGTATATTTCTTCAGAGTCAACCTTGGCCCTGAGAAGTATGTCCTCCTGGTGTGCTCAGGCTCAACGGCAGTCTGGTGGCTGAAGGCACTTGGCCTCCTAAACCAAGCAGAATTTTGGGAAGAGATAACAGCCAGGGAGATATTGCCCATGATTCTCACTTTTTCTTTGCCTGGCATCTAAGCAGGAACCCATTGTGGAGTAGACTCTCTTCTTCTATGGAGCCTCTGACATGGGGAGCAATGCTAAGCAAGCTAAGTGTAAAAGAAAAGTGACAGAATAATTTTGGAAGAGGAAGCCTCATCAAAAGCTCACACAAAATAGAGCTTCCCATGGTGTGCCCTATCCTAGGTTTAAGAAAACACGTATGAAGTTTATGCTGATGCAAAGAACTTGGGTTTTTATGTTAATATAAAGTGTTGTTTTAGCATGTGGCCAGATGATGCTCTGTCATCTTTAGAAAGTGAGATAACCAAGGAAATAATTGAAGGAGTATAGGGAGATGGATTAAGTTGATAATGACATTTAGGGCAACTTAAGACCTTTGATCCCAGGTTCTAACTCAAAGAGGCTGACCTTCCCCCAGCTAAGATAGCATGAGGACGTTGTATTCCAATATACGTATGATTGGGGCTACAAAGCTGAACTAAAGCAAGATTGGTGAAGTGGCAGGGTTTATAGAGAGAAGCCCAGGCTGAGTTCAGCTTTTGTTGGAAGTGAGAATCCCTGACATATAGCTTTCTTGGAGATCCCAACTCTCATTCTTGGTGCAACTGGCTTCCAGCTCTCCAGCAGTCACTCTCCTAGGTGCATGATTCAGTGCGTGCCATGTGTCATTAGCTTTTACTGATAACCATATTCTGGCTTGTTCCCTTACCCCCTACTTCTATCCAATTTTCTCTGCTAGGGGTTATCATTAGCAATTGACATGCTAAAGGTTTTGGAGCCCACCTAGGGGTAGGTGCAGCTTTATTGGCTTTTCTGTGGATTCTCTCAGTGGACCCACACCATCTCTATGTCTCTCCACTCTCCTGCCTTCAGCCATAGCAAAGAATCCTTCCAAAATCAAACTCTTCACTTTTTTGACTCAAGTGTTGTTGTTCAGTCTCTCGCGTGTCAATGTGGTCATGGTTCATGAAACCGGACCCTCAAGATGGATGATTGCTTTTAACTACTGCCAGCTGATGTCTCTCAGCCCCTGCCCTCATACAAGATTTTTCTCAGCCTTCAGCCTACCACTGCAGAATCCGATGTGACCCACCATTAGGGAGTCTGCATCTTGGAAGAGTTGGAAATAACCCTTTAACATCAACATGCTTCAAAGACTTTTTGCCTTTGGCCTAGTAAGATGCCTCTCCAGCTACTGAGCCCACAAGTAACATGAGCGGATAAAAAGAGACTTGTTTGTGCTAGAAATGAGGGTCTATGCTATGAGGGGGTCCAAGACTCTGGCGAAATGTGCTTTTTCATCAATGGAGAAATGAAAGGAAAACACAAGCAAGAAAAAAGTTAACTTGTATTATGTATTTTTACTACACTTTTCTTAAAAATAGAGCATTGGGAAAACTCTGAAAGAGACTGACATTTTTCTCAACAGGAATCCATACTTAACAGTTCTGGCTTTCATTAAATTTTGCTCTTTGGTACCTGGGCCTTTTATTTAACATCTATATTTGTTTTAACTCTCTTGGCAGATGTGTGAAAGGATTCTTGCTTGATCAAACACTAAGTATTTTTTTGGTTCTTGTTTTTCTTTCAAATAGCCAGGTTTTTTTCTTTTGGTATTTGCATAAAATGAAAATATCACCGAATATTAAATCACTGTGGATCCATTATCTACTTTTCATATTTGTCCATTCCATTTTTGTGCCATTTCTGAAGCCGGGGCTCTAGAGATTATTTCCTTATGGCAGAGCCTAAGACTAGTAGGTTTTTAACTGTGACCACTGTTTCTAACTCACAAACAGCTCTCGAGTCATTTCAGCTGAACTAGAACATTGTGAGTTATTCATCCAAATAGGATAACCACAACAATTACAAAAGACAAACGGTGGTATTTGGCTTCCAGGAGCTACAATTCCAATTGCATAAAAACCAGGGCTTGACTTGCAGCCATCACAGTACCTCTAGGGAACTGGATAGTTCACATGGAATGTCTCCCAGACATCCCCAAACTGGAGAGGTATAGCTGTGATGTGCACGAAGTCACAGCCAGAACCAAATCTAGACCATGCTTATAAGTCTGGATTATCTAGAGGATAATTTTGGTCCTCAGACACCACAACTTTCATTCTTGCCTAGAAGCTTTTTTTTCCCCCTTAAGCAAAATGGCTTTCTGTAAAGGATCTGACATTTGTTGATACTTAGATATCAATGATTAAGAACAGCTTCAAGTGTTTTCTTTCCCAAGGAACACTGCATATTAACAAGGACCAGAGGTCTAGAATAAATGAACAGGGAAGTTCAAACAGTAGCATGGACAATAACTACTACAATAGAAAAGGGTTGGGAGAAAGAAGAGAAACTGGCAGGCTTGTGTAAAACCACAGTCATTGTTTGCATACACCTTGCAGCATCTAGGGTACCTCTGAGTGAGGAAGCACTTAACACCAGCTGACTGCAGAGAAAGACGATTTCTGCTGCCTTACTGTCAAATAGCTTGGACAATGGTCATAATGGCTATCATAGCACAGGCTGCCATGTATTGAGCACTTGCTATGTTAAGCACACCTCATACCTTCTATATCATGAAAAAGGCCCTCAAAGTAGGGCCTTTCAGATGAGGAATCTGAAACTTAAAGAAATTACATAACTTGCTCACAATCCTGTAAGTGACAGCACCAGGATTTGAACTAAGTCTGTCTAAATCCAAGGCTTTACAACCCTAACTACCCACGTCACTGTTAACCAGGTCATGATGAACGATGGCCAGGAAATACCAAGTGAGTTCTCTACCTACCTGTTATGCCAAAGTAACTGAAAATGGAATGGTGAAAGCCACACCTGCTACTCTTTTTGGAAAGCCACTCCATGCTCAGGGCATGGAGAGATCATTAATCTAGACAGGATTGCAAAAAGAAAAGAGGAGGGAAGAGTGCATTTGTAGCAGCTTTACAATGGATCTAGGCTCAGGAGTAGCAAGCAGGTAAGGGAGGGTACTAAAAACCAGGTTCCATTAGCAATGGTTGATCCAGCCTGGAAGAGGGTCCCCAGAGCCTTCATGAGGAAAACGGAGATAACTTTTTCTGTTTGGTCAAGTTCAGGATCAGTTCTGGTCATGACAAGGGCATTGGACTTAGGTTCAACTAGTGGTCAAAGTAACTCCATAGTAAAATTAGGTTAACACTGGACTTAGAACAGCACCCCCCTGTCAGAGAGATGCTACAGGTGTGAACGTTGAAACGCATATTCTCTGATTTTTCTTCCATTCCAGATCCTTAGAGTTCACTATTAACTTGATGTCCTCTGTGTGCCCAGGAGAGGGGAAGAGGGAGGAAGGAAGTCAAGATCACCAAGACTTTTTCTTGAATCTTTTATATCCCTATTCTTTAGCTCATCTGGTCATTTACACCCTGATGGGCACTGAGATGGAGTCAGCAAGGCCCTGCAGAGCGGGCATGGATGTCTTTCACTGAAATAAAGTAAAAAAATCAACCTATCTTGAATAAGAGACAAAATAGCAAGTTTGTTCCATAACAAATGCTTATGTGCTATTTAAGAAGGAATTTCTATGGGGGTAAAGGTAAAAAAAATAGTGAGGTTCTTGGCTGGGCGCAGTGGCTTACGCCTGTAATCCCATACTTTGGGATGCCAAGGTGGGCAGATCACCTAAGACCAGGAGTTTGAGACCAGCCTGGCCAACGTGGTGAAATCCTGTCTCTACTGAAAAGATACAAAAATTACCCAGGTGTGGTAGCACACGCCTGTAATCCCAGCTACTCAGGAGGCTGAGGCAGGAGAATTGCTTGAACCTGGGAGGTGGAGGTTGCAGTGAGCTGAGATCGCACCACTGCACTCCAGCCCAGACGACAGAGAGAGATTCTATCTCAAAAACAAAAAAAAAGAAGAAGAAAAGTTGGGTTCTTGAAGAAGTTACTTTCCAAAGGTCACACCATGAGTAGAGAAACAATAGCGGGAAGGCCAATGGATTAGGGTTTACAATACCTGGCTTCTCCCTGCTCTGTCTTTCAAGCTTGGACAAGAAAGTGTACTGCCCTCAGTCTTATTTTACTCATCAAAGAAATGGGACAAAGGCAATGATTCTCAACCCTGCTTGCACATTAGAATAAACTAGGGAAGTTTAAAAAAATCACCAATGTCCAAGACACATCTCCAGATTTAGTCGGTCTGAGATGAAGCGCAGGCATAGTAGGTTTTTTAAAATAATAATTATTATTGTTTGCTTTGAACTCCCAAGTGATTACAATGTGCAGCCAAAGTTGGGAACTACTACAATCTGGCCATCCTGGGGATCAAAGAAAGCATTCATGAAAACTTCTTTGAAAATTATGAAGTGCTGTATTAGGAGTATTTGTCAGTGGCCAGACCAATCACAGAGCCCGGGTCACCTGATAGTAGTTCACTTTTTCAGTATGGTTTCTCCTTTCTGTTGCTCTGGGCACATTCTGACTTGTAAGAATGTCTATGGGCCAAGGGAACTGGGTTTCTTGTGAAAGCCAGAGGCCAGTATTGCACCTGTGAACAGTATCTCCTCTATCTAGGAGTCCCAGTGAGTAAGAGCCTAGACTGGGCAAGATAGCCCCAGATATCAAATCTCCATAGTCCCAAAGAGGAAAATGTCATTATATTTATCTGATATCAGAGGAGGAAAAGACAGAGTCCCCAACTTGAGCTCTACATGCTCTTTTACCCTTTAGGCATATTTGTAATAACGTAACATTCTGCTGGGCATAAGAAGAGACACAAGACATTAGAGATAAGATAATCATCACAGAGGTCCCTCCTCAGGAAAGGGGAAAAAACAACTTTGTCAAATGAGTCAGCCTTCAACATGGTCAGTTATTTTCCAAACCGGAAAACTACTTGGCTGTTTCCATTATAGACACCAGATCACACCACCTGCATTTTTAACAAAGTCCACTGGAAGGCACTGCCCATCAACTGCATCTTCCTGGGCACACTGAGTCCTCTGGTGACTCTAACTCTTAAGTCCTCTTCCTCAATGCTATTTGCCATTTTTATAGCACATCAAGGAATGGGAACCAGCATTTGCTCAGCACTAACTGCATACCAGGCAGGAAGCTAGGGTTTCCAAGTACATCTTTTTGTCTTCAAAACAATCCTGTGAGATGGGGATTTATCACCATCATAAGAGGAAATGGAAGCTTAGAACCCAAAGTCATGCAGCCAACCAATGGCTTGGCCTAGATTCTAATCCAAGTCTGTCTCCAAAGTTACATATAGCATTTCCACTTTACTTGACCACCTCTTGGGGAGATTTCACTGTGCTAAGGAAAGCAGCAAACAGAGATTTTAAAGACATGAAGTCTATTGCCTGCATTACTATCAATATGCTGTAAAGGCCCTGGGCAACTCATTTCACTACTTTTGGCTTCAGTGTCCTAGTCTGTGAAACGAAGGGAAGAAGATAAACCTAACAATATCTAAGATCCTGTTTTTCAGTAATTCTCAACCACGGGCGCTTTTGTCCCCAGGAGACATTTAGCAATATCTGGAGACATTTTGGGTTATCAAAACTGGGGAATGGAGTTGCAACTGGCATTTAGTGGATAGAGACCAGGGGTGCTGCTAAATAGCCTACAATGCACGGGGAAGCCCCACAAAACAAAGAACTATGCAGCTCAAGGTGTCAATAGTGCCAAGGCTGAGAAATCGTGTCTTATGTAATTATAGCATCCCAGTAGCATGTTGGGATGTGGACGATGACCAGATAAGGCTGAATAGGAGCAGGATGAAGATCTTAAATCAGGTAAACCTTCAGAGAAGATGAACACTTAACATGAATTTAGGCAAGTAAGAAGTTGAGTTTAGCGAAGGAAGCTGCAGTCAGAAGAGTTCGGCCCTATACGTAGACAGGCTAGAGAAGCCAAGGTCAGAGGTTCAATCAGGCAATCAGACAGTCCTAACAACGTGGCTCAAGAGAGAGCAGGGGACTTTGCCTGCAAATGTGGTTTATGCTCTTCCCAGTCTCCCAGCTCTTTTTGCCAGGTGCCTCTGCAGCCAGAACAAGTTTAGAGACTTATCGGTGAGCCCTCCCTTCCCCCAAGAGACTGAATAAGCTTCACTTTTACTTTTATCCCAGAATAATATACATGCATCCTTCTAACAAACATAGGTAATGAGCACCCATGTCCACAAGTAGATGTCATGGAGAATGAGACAAATAAGTGATAGACCTGTCCCTTGGAAAGTTGACAGTCAGGAAGGAAAAATGAGACACGTAAGCACCACTAAGTAAAACAAGTTTCGACCTGGTACATGCCAGATGGGAATAAAGGCAAAGTGCCTGGGTCATCTTCCAAATGCCATCATCCTCTTGTGTCCAGTCTCTGAAGAAGGTCCTCTGACCTTGGATTACATGACCATCTATACCCCTCTTCCCTTGATCTCTGTTTTTTAGCTACTCCAGCTTCTGTCCGGTTCCTCAAACATGCCAAGAACAGTCCCACTTCAGCACTTTTTGCTGTTTTCTCAGCTTGAAACCCCCTTCACCTAGATCTTTGTGAGGCTGGCTCCCCATCCATCCACATGGTAATGCAAAATGTCATCTCCTCAGATGGCATTTCCTGTCCACCCTATCTAAACTGGCTCTAAGGTTACTCACTCTTGCATTACTCATCGCCACCTAATAATATCTTGTTTACTTGCTTATTGTTCTCTTCCCTGCCTGCATCTAGAATAAGTATTCACAAGAAGAGGGACCTTCTCTGCCCAGCACAATGTCTGGCATGTAATAATTCCTCAATCAGTATTCACTGAATGACATAATGAATGAGAGAGGTAGAGCTGAAATGCTAAGGCATCGAGACGGAAATAGGCAAGGTTTCTTTGGGAAAGTGTGACTACTAAATGTAGCTGGCACCACATTGCCAAGGAGAGCAATAAAAGAGAAGGATGGACTGGACATGGGGAGCTGATGCTTAATTCGTCATGAAATAAGGAGTTGTTGAAGTTTCTGGAGCTGAAAAAGAAATTCATGTACGTATCAGGTATTAAGCTTAGCAAGAAACTAGCACAGTGTAGGCATCTATTATGTGCCAGGTACTGTGCAAGGCACTCCACCTTTCCTCTCATTTAACCCTCATGGCAGCAACTCTATGAGTCAGGATCACCATCCTAATTCTATATGTGTGCAAACTGAGGCTCAGAAGTAGAAGCAGAACTTTAGCCACCTAGATTTTATGTAATTCCTACAACACAGGAACTCACATAACAGATTACTAGAAGCCATCTGTCCACTTGATAGTTTCCAGTAAAAAGCCCCAGAAGGATACTACCAGAAGGGGGAAGACCTGCCACCTGTGGATGGCACTGCTTGATTATGTAAGAAAGTCACCAGACAAGGAGTCAGTAACAACCAGGGCCCCAGTGGGTGTTGCACTAACAAAGGCACTGTGTTGAGGAGGATTCTGAGCCCAGTCTATACTCAATAAAAGGGAACGGTGGGCCGGGTGCGGTGGCTCAAGCCTGTAATCCCAACACTTTGGCAGGCTGAGGTGGGCGGATCACGAGGTCAGGAGATCAAGACCATCCTGGCTAACACGGTGAAACCCCCTCTCTACTAAAAATACAAAAAATTAGGCGGGTGTGGTGGCGGGAGCCTGCAGTCCCAGCTACTCGGGAGGCTGAGGCAGGAGAATGGCATGAACCCAGGAGGTGGAGCTTGCAGTGAGCCAAGATTGTGCCACTGCACTCCAGCTGGGTAACAAGAGCAAGACTCCGTCTCAAAAAAAAAAAAGGGAACCATGATGGATTTATAAATCACCCTGAGCACAAGATGAAGAAGGGAAGCTTCTTTGTGACATATCTGCCTTCATTGGTATAGCAGAACATTCTCCTCAATTCCAGAATAATTGTAGGCTTTTTGGCCCATGGGAAATGTTGACAATAATATATCATATGTACCACATGGTAGGGTCTCCTTTAGTGCTTGTAAGGGCTCTACATGTAAGTGTTTGGACTATTACCACAGTAAGGCTGTCGTTACAAACCAACAAAGAAAACAGCACACACAATCAGTCCATAAATACCAAGCCATGGGAACTATGTGGTAAAATAATTAATAGCTATAAACATTACCACTGCTATTTGTTGAACATCTACACTGCGCTGGGCATTTTACATACATGGTCTGACTTCATGCTCACAATATATTTGGAAAGAGATAGTAGCATTTCGACTGGATAAATGTTTTAAATAAATGAACGAAGACTCAGAAAAGTCTTTAAGAGTTGAATGGGATGTTAGAAATGATCTAATCATTATTTTATCCAACTATATTTTATAATATAATAAATGAACTTGAAACCTTAGAGAATGAGTGACTTGCCTAGGGTCACATAAGTTCCTAGTGAGACTAGCTAGAAGCTAGCTCTCCTGGCTCAAAGTCCAGGGTACTCTGCATGTAAGAAAGAGGTTTTCTCACATTTAAACAATCCTAAAACTCAACATCTGGCTTTTCTTCCTACTTTTGTAGAGTTACTTGAGGGTATCTAGATAAACTGGGCCATGATCTAAGGAAGGTGTTTTAGAGAGAGGCTGCTGAAAGCTGTAACTAAGACTAGACTGAAATCTCAATAGAGTAGGGAAATGCCTAGCTAGTGGGACTTCAGGATCATGACCAAATTTCTCCCAACCAAAAACATTTCCTTAATGTTTACTGTATCCCCCCAAATTCCTTATCCAAGACAAAGCCTTTTATTCCACAAAGTTTGTTAAGTTTCTTTGTAAATGCACTTGGTATGCAAAAATATCTGGCAAAGTCAAACTTGCCCTATATACCTGTTACAAGGTGTTTTCTTAATAATAGCTTTTAATAGAAATTATAGGTCAGGTGCAGTGGCTCACGCCTGTAATCCTAGCACTTTGGGAGGCCGAGGCAGGCAGATCGCCAGGTCAGGAGTTCAAGGCCAGCCTGGCCAATATGATGAAACCCGTTTCTACTAAGAATACAAAAATTAGCCTGGTGTGGTGGTGTGCACCTGTAGTCCCAGCTACTCGGGAGGCTGAGGCAGAAGAATCGCTTGAACCTGGGAGGCGGAGGTTGCAGTGAGCTGAGATTGTACCACTGCACTCCAGCCTGGGCAACAGAGGGAGATTCTGTCTCAAAAAAAAGAAAGAAAGAAAGAAAGAAATTGTAGAGAGGCACTTGAAGGATAGGGCAAATGAGCAGGAAGGTAAGAAAAGAATTCACCATTAGAGGATGTTGAAGGCAAAGTTCACAATTTTACAGTTGGGAAGCCTTTGTTTTAGTGTGTACACCTAAAAAATAGTCATGAAAGACAGCAAAAGTGGCTATTCAGCAGAGAAGCCTGATACTCTGAATGTATCTAGAGTTTGAAGCGGAAGATTAGGTAGTTATCTAAATGATTCCAGGAGTAAGAAGTGATTTTATTAAACTGATATTTATATAAATATGCTAGAAAAATAAAATAACTCCTTATCCTTTTCTCCATCTTGCTTTGAAACCTGATCAGAAAAAAAATCATTTTGATTTTTCTTTAAAAAAAATGCATTGTGACTTGGAGATCTTGTCTTCATATACAAACTCATTTAGGAAAGAAAGAAAAAGATACTATTAATTCAATTTGATTGAGTAATCAGCTTAATGAACTGGTTAGACCCCATTTAGTAATGATATAGAAACTAGCTTCTCGGGCATTGGAAAACCATTAGGAAAAAAAAAACAGTATAATACTGGTAGTAGATATCTGTGGATTTTGGCAACAGGGCATTCCTCCCTTTGGGAAGGAGCTCAAATCATGTGATCCTGTTTGTACTGCCAGTCTTAGCACCCTGCCCCACCCACACCTCTGGCCCAGGCAACTATAGTCGCTTTTTGCACTGGCCACAGTGACTGGGCTAGATATGATCATATGGCCCAAGTTGGGCCAATTAGGATCCTTTTGCACTGGCCTAAATGATTGAGCTACATATGATCATATGGCCCTATTTGGGCCAATTAGAATCCGTCTCCAGGATTTTTAAATCTGGAGATCAAATGAGAGGGAGGTCTTACTTTTGAATCCAAGCAAAAAGTATCCAAGGGTATCTTCTAAATCATGTAGAGAAAGCCTCTCTACAGTAAGAAAGAGCAAAGATAACTTATCCAAAATTCATAACGGTGGGAAAAAGTCCTGATGGCATGTGAGTCTCTGGACCCGATTTTCCAGAGGTCGGCCCCCTTAACCAGATTTCCCAGGGACATGAACTAATCGATTGTTTATTCTGCCTAGTTGCTTTGAGTTAGATTTCCATCTCAAATAACCAAAGGAATTCTGATCCATCAATCAGTGACAAGCCATAAACCGTATAACTAAGAAAAAGGAAGTCAGCGTTTGAGATACAACCAGTTGCTTCCATAGTTAGCAACTGGTTTCAAACGAGTTTGATCGGATTCAAACTTTTCATGTCCAGATCCATGTTAGTGTATTGAGGCTCCAATGTCACCATCCTGACTCCTGTCAGCCTCCATTTTCTCCTCTGCTGTCAGAGGAAAGAATCCCCTCCTAGGGGCTGGAGCAGGGGCTGTGAGTGTTAACTCATAAATAATTGAAAGCTCTCTGAAAAAGATTTGGTGTTAAGGATGCAATAAATAAGTCCTCAAAGGGGTGCCTTTCTGTCCATAAAATTTTATTTTCTTCATCCTTTGGAAAATAGTCTATTAGCAGAGAGCTTCTCCCTACTCTCACTTTTCTCTCTCCCTTTGAATCATTTCAGGGAGAGAAGGGGAGTTTTTATTGTTCATGTTTACTTTTTTTCTTTAGCAGAGACTGGACACCTACAGTTGGCTATCAACTTTGCATTAACTGTGTTTCCACTGTTGTTAAAAAACACACTAAATGCATACATTCCATGAGGACTTGAGGGAGGTTGCATAGACAAATGAGAGTGTATAAACAGAAAAATGACAGACGCAAATTATACTAATACACAGGCCAGCAAGGCCAACGTGCAGTTTAGTACTTTAAAAAGCCCCTGAAAAATCTGTACCATGTGTTGACTCATACACAAAATTCCACTCACTACATTTGATTCTTTTACTTAGAGTGATGATTGCTCTGGAATAATCATCTTTCACATTGCCGCAGAATTCCATAGCCATAAAACTTTTTCATAACTGTCATCTGTCTTGGTCCACAGCAATGTTCTGAATATGGATGGAGTAGAGATTATTCTTCCTATTTTATAAATTAAAAACCTGAAGTTTAGAGAGATCAAGAGACTTGTTCAAAGTCACACAAGCAAAAGTGGATAAGCTGGAGCTAAAATATGAACATCCCAACTCATGATGGTCTCTACACTCTGCCAAATGAGAATGACAGACAGTTGCTGGGGATGTGATTGATATCCCTTACGTGGAGGAAAAGAGTAAAAACATGCATCAGTTAACTTGAAGATGTAATTGGCCAAGAGCTGTCCCTACATATAAAAAAGTGAAGAGAAGGAAACTAATATTGGTTGCAGGTAGAACCGAATTGAAGGATGATCTGACAGGACAGATGTTCTTGTTCCATCACTAGAAATTTAGGGAGGTGTGGAAAATTCTGTTCACTAGAAATTTAAGGAGGTGGGGAAAATTCTGTTCAACAGAATGCCTCAAGGAGAGCCCTCCAGGTGACTGCAGTGAATGTCTTCTAAGGAGTTACCAAGAACCCTTGAATTTCTCTGAAGGACATGCAAAGAGAGATGGTGCTGCCATTTCCCCTAATTGTGTATTATCTGTCCTCTGTATAATAATAAATATACTTAAAGAATATTAATCAGAAAAATTCCAGATGATACAGCTGCTGGGGCACCAAGAGGTCACAATCAGGTACAGGTGAATTTCTATAAGCCAGGCCCTGTGCCTGATGGCATGATATGCTCTCTCTTTTAATGTCCATAAGAATGGTCTGTGAGGCAGGCACTGTTATCTGCATTTTCACTTGTGATGCTCAGAAAGGTTAACTTGCCCAATGTCACAGAACTGTCAATTGGTAGAGTCAGGTTTAGATTTCAAAGTTATCTATCTCTGGACTTTCCCAGCCTGGCAGAAAGGTAAATGCTGAATCTTCGTTAATAGTCCAGAATGAAGCAGGGCATGGTGGTATGCACCTACAGTCCCAGATACCTGGGAGGCTAAGACAGGAGAATTGCTTGAGACCAAGAGTTCCAGGCTGTAGTGCAATATGATTGTGCCTGTGAATAGCCATGGCACTCCAGCCTGGGCAACACATAGTGAGACCTCCATCTCCAGAAAACAAAAAACTCTAGAATAATGACCTTGTAAACTAACTCATGGTCCATTTTTCAAAAATATGGATTTACAATAAAAACCAGTTATTTATCTTCATTTTTCTCCCATACCCACTGAAGAGAGAGCTGCAGCAAGGCCAGTTTGCAAAATATTTTCTGCACATCTAGCCTCATTCTAGTCTCACAATAACTTTATGAGGGCAAAGGGTGGGCACCAACATCCCCATTTTACAGATGAGGAAACACAGGCTCGGAGGGATTTAATGGGTTGCCCAAGGCCAACCCAGAACTTTTAACTACAGCTCCAGAAATCTTCCCACTCCACTCTCTCACCAAGCCCAGCACATATTCAGTACTCAATAAATTAATGAATTAATAGTAGATGACTTAATGCAAGGACTATATCTCAGAAGGATTGTGCTTTCAAATTCTCTACATGTAGCGCTTTCCTTGCTGCAGAAAACGAAGACTCATTAAATGGTCAAATCTGCAGAAGCCCTTCCCCCTATTCCCCTGAGAGAGGTGTCAGCAGTGCCATTTCCTTTCAACTTGGCCTTCCCCACCCCCACAGAGTGTGATCAGCCCACCTGCAGGCGCGTTCATTTGCTCTTTTCTCATCTATCCTACAGCTTTCTCCTGTCCCACTGGCTAGCACACTGCCGAAGCTCACACTTTCCCTTGCCCCCTGCCTCTCTGGCAGCAGCATGAGTCATCTCTGCCCATCCCTCTCTCAATCCAGCCCAGTAGGACCGACAGTGGCAAGAAGCATATGTGGAATTCAAGCCAGAAGATCACAGGAGACTTGCTGCCCCAACCCCACAGAAATGACTTCCTGCTGCACTAATCTTATTATGAACGTGAAGCCATGCCTGTGCCAGGGAGGGAAAGGTGAAGAGAGACCGCATATGCCCAGGATTTAGGATTACCATTTTCTTCATCTTGGGTTAATCATACACAAGTTCCCAGAATCTTGAACTCTCACAATTACAACAGCTGGAGGGTCACTATCTTAACATGCCTCTTGCTTGCATTCTTCCAGGAACATGCATACTCACCAACCTCCTTCAGGTAACTGGGTTCACATATAGCCTGCTCAGACTTTTTTAAGATAAACATCTCCACAATGTTCAGTAATACCTTGTGTAGCCAGGTATGGTGGTTCGCATCTGTAATTCCAGCTACTCAAGAGGCTGAGGAAAGAGGATCACTTGAGCCCAGGAGTTCAAGACCAGAACTGAGCCACCCCCATCTCTAAAAAAATAACAAGACCCCATCTCTAAAAAATTTTTTAATAGTAGTAATACATCATGTGACATGATTTCCTCATTCTCCAGGGTCATGTTAAGGGTCAGCTAAGGCTATATGTGTGTATGTATGTATGTCTCTGTATTGTACAGGCAAGAATATTTGTAATCTGCAGCATGCTATACTGGTTGTAAGGTAGCATTATTGTTATTATTATTTCCATAGTTTGGGTTCCTCCTCTGCATTCTAGTGATGCTTCAGTTTGTCACTTTACCCCAAGGTAACCCCCAGATATCTCAACATCACCAACTCCCTCATCTTCAAAAAGAGAAAGAAGACAGCAGCTCATATTTAATGAGCACAGTGTTAATTAAGCACTTTGTATCACTATGGCATTTGATCCTCTTAAGAACCCTGTGCTGGCCGGGCACAGTGGCTCACGCCTGTAGTCCCAGCACTTTGGGAGGCCAAGATGGGCGGATCACGAGGTCTAGAGATCAAGACCATCCTGGCTAAGACGGTGAAACCCCATCTCTACTAAAAATACAAAAAATTAGCCGGGCATGGTGGTGGGCGCCTATAGTCCCAGCTACTCAGGAGGCTGAGGCAGAGAATGGCGTGAAGGTGGAGCTTGCAGTGAGCCACGATCGCACCACTGCACTCCAGCCTGTGTGATAGAATGAGACTCTGTGTCAAAAAAAAAAAAAAAAAAAAAAGAGAGACTGTGATTATCCTCATGTTACAGATGAAGAAACTAAGGCCAAGAGTAAACAAGTAACTTGCACAAGATTGAAAATTATAAAAGGTAGAGTTAAAATCTGGGTCCAAATCTGTGGGACTCCAGCTCCTGACCCTCTAACCATGAGACTACAGGGTTTTGGAAGTCACCCAATGTGAGAGGCCATCATCTGCTCTGTTCTGTTCATTCATTAGGAATTCGATACTTTGGGGAAAGGGTCCCTGTCCTCAAAGAGGAAGTGGTCTAGGAAATGGAGCAAGAAAAAAGCAGGTGGTGTGGTAGCAGGTGCCTCTGTCACTGTCATTCTCAGAGGTTGGAGCTCAGTCAGGACACAGAGTGCTGAGGAAGCCCCACATCTGCACTTTGCCTGGATGTTTTGTTAAGCAGGTGGAAGTTGGTGGTCAGGAAGACCTGGCTCCACCCTCCTGAGTCCCAGCTCTTCTCCAGGGCCATTGATGAAGTCATTCTTGAAGGAGGGGCCCACGAAAATCTCAAAAATTACAAAGCACAAGCTCTGGAAAAGGTCTTCATGTTTGGGGATGAGCCGAAAGCAGGACAGCATGCTAGCTAAGAGTGGAGAATATGGAGTCTTGCCTTCAAATCCTGGCAGTTGGATAACACTGAGAAGTTAGTTAACCTTTCCAAGCCTCTGCTCTCTCATCTATGAAACGGGTATGACAATGCTTACCACAAAGGGTTGACTAAATGACCTCAAGAATATAAAGCTCTTTGCACAATGCCTGGCATACTCTAAATCTCATATCTAGTCAATGTTAGTTATGATGGAAAAGAAGGAGTTAAGTAGCTCAGTGTGGCTTTTCATTCTCAAAAAGCCATTTTATTTTGAATTCAAGGGAAAAAAGAGAAATGTTTCTCAAAACTTCAAACCTTTCTTAATTTTATTCAACTGGCTCTCATGCAAAAACAAACAAATGAAAGCTATTTAGCTCTTGTTTTGTCCAAATCCTTATTTCACAAATAAGGAACCGGGTCCCAAAGAAGAAAAAGAACTTGTCCAATGTCTCAGGCTAAGTTGCTGGCAGAGAGTCCAGAATTCCAACAGCCTCCCATGACATTTGTTTCCAAGGCCCAAGATCCTTGAGAGGAATTGTGAGAAGAGAGGAAGGCAATAAATACGCCGCCCTGCAACAGCTGAGACAGTTTGAGCTGACTTCACAGGCTGATTCTGCATCTAACAAAGCACCACCCACAGAGGGCACCACTTACGCAGATACCAGGGTTCAGGATGCCCAAACTGTTTTCTTTCCTCCTGGACCATTTAGACTAGCATCAAGGGAAGTTAACATCAAGCCCCCAAATGGCATAAATATCTGTGCTTAGAATCAAAACCTAAAAGAAGTGATATTGTGGTCAATCCAGGACTAAAATCCAGACCTCCTAAACATTCCAATTAGGGACTTACCAACCCACCCAGATGGCTGTTCTCATTTTCATTACTGTGTGACAAACTTGCACCAAAACTCAGTGAAGTAGCCAAATTCTGTGGGTCCAGAAGTGGACAGAGCATGGCAGGGACATCTCTTCTCTGTGCCACAGTGTCTGGGACTGAGGTGGGAAGACTCAAAGTTTCACAAGCATGACTCATACACACACACAGGAATTTTCTAGAGGTTTCTTTGCCCTCCTGTCTGGTACCTGCATTGGGATGAAGTGAAGATTTGGTCTGCCATTTACCCTGCATGTGGCCTCTCCACATGACTTGGGCTTCCTCACAGCATGGCAGTTCCTAGGTAGTCACAGCAGTTCAGGCTCCAAGCAAGGGTACTCCCATGAACAAGGAATACTTTTTATGACCCACCCTCAAATGGGTGGCAACACTTAGCACATGGCATAGCTTCCATCATACTTTACTGGTCAAAGCAGTTACAAGCTCACCTAGATTCAAGGTAAGGGGATGCAGATGCCACATCTCAATAGGAGTGTCATCAAATTCGCAGGCATTTTTTTAGAGTGTAGCTGCCCCTTGCATGTGTATATCACCAGCCTAAAAATGCCCTTTCAGCTCTGCAAGCTCAGTTCCATATTTTATAGCTCCTCCATCCTCAACCCTACAAATAAAGCAGGAACACTGTGCTTAAACAAAATAACATTTTATCTGAGTCCTGACCCTTGACTGGGGCTCCCTGGCAGGACTCTGGTTAGGGTGGCCACTTACTTCCATGATATTGTTCATTCATACCTTTTATTCTGTCTCCTAATCTACCCCACTGCTAAGACGTTTCAGTTCTATTTCAAAATATATCTGGAGTCCTTCCACTTCTCCCCACCCCCACTGATGACAGCCTTATCAGAGCACATCACTCTCCTGCTATCTTTCATCAACTTCTGCTGCTCTTAGAGTGGAATCTAACTTTTGGTCCCCCAAGAGCATTAGTGTGCAGGACCTGGCCCTGCCTACCCTCTGAGCTCACTCATCTCACTCTCCTTCTGGCTTATTGTTTTCCAGCCTCACCAACCTCCTCTCTCTTCCTCCAAGCCATCTCCAGGCCCTTGCACTTGCCCCTCCTCCTGGAATGCCCTTTCTGCAGCTATTTGCACACCTGCTCATTCTGATCCTTCGAATGTCAGCTCAAATGTCTCCTCTTCGGAAAGGCTTCTCTGAGCACCCTCTCCATACACCTTTGGTCCCTTCATGCCAGTCATCATAATCTGTAATGAATATGACATCTTTATCTTTGTGTTTGTTTTCTGATGAGTGCAGGGACCTTGTTTTCTTGTTCCCTGCTCTGCCCCTTGCACCCAGAATCCTCTCTGGTCCACAGCATGTGCTCAATAAGTATCTGTGAAATGAATGAGCCAGATGTAATGCTGCATAGCTTGTGGGAGCAGAAGAAATTGAGTCCATAAGTTTATTTATTCTTAAAAAGCAAATTACAGCAGTCCCCTATACTTGCTGGTGATTCCACCGGTCAACAAAGAATGTGCTTTATAAAACAAAATAGAAAGAATTGAAGAATGTTAGTGCCTTGATAGGGCCCTCAGAGATCATTTAATTTCTCATTTTGTAAATGAGAAAACCAGAACCCAGAGAGGTTGTGGGATTTTACCCAAGATCATAACCATTTCTTCATAGCACAATCTTTCTTAGTATTTAATTTCTTTAATTAAACAAGCAATTGTCCACTGAAAAAAAATGAAAACTATATAGAAATGTCTCGTAAAGATTGGACCTCCCCCGTTCTCACTCCATACTCCAGGAGGGACCGCTGTTTCTACTTCGAAGAGAATCCTTTCAGGCCCCTTTGTGTGTGATTAAAAACACATATGTGCATACTTACGCATCTAAATCTTTGCCGTAACACTTCACTATCTTGAAAATTACCTTAGACTTAGAAATAAAAAGACTTCTTTATGAATGCATTATTTTAATTACCACCAGCTGCAGTGGTTTCAAGGAAAGGGATTCCAGTGTGTGCTACTCAGTAACTGAGGGAAGAAAGCCCATGGGGCATTTGGCTGGTAGGAGGACTCTGTGGGATTGACCACCCAGGAGCCACGGTTGGGGGTGGAGGGGTGGGGGGGAAGGTTGGGGAGGGGATGCAAATGAACTTTGCTCTCCTCGACCACTCAGGACCTGCTGATTTGGGTGGTAGGTGAGATTCTAAACTTTCCTGATGAATAAGTGCTGACTGATCCATAAAGAATGATTAGACAGCTGAATAATCTCCTATATGCTTCATTGTAGGATTCAAAACTAGAAAAAGGAAACTTTTCTAAGGGAAAGTGCTGAAGAGAACCAGGAAAAGGGAGGTAGAAGAGTTCAACAATTAACAATGGGAAGGCAGGAGTCAGACAGGCTGGGTTCAAATCTTGAGAGCCTCGCTGAAGCTTGGTTTTCCCATCGGTAAACTGGGGATGACAGAAGTACTAATGGCACTGGGTACATATGTACCACCCAAGCATGGGGGATACTTTTATTTTTAATTTTCACTCATTTATTTATTTATTTTTGAGATGGTGTTTCACTCTGTCGCCCAGGCTGGCATGCAATGGTACAATCTTGGCTCACTGCAACCTCCACCTCCCAGGTTCCAGCGATTCTCCTGCCTCAGCCTCCCAAGTACCTGGGACTACACACACATGCCACCACGCCTGGCTAATTTTTGTATTTTTAGTAGAGACGGGGTTTCATCATGTTGGCCAGGCTAGTCTCGAGCTCCTGACTTCAAGTGATCCAATGGTGGCTACTTTTAAAGTGAACAGATGGTAATGACTGTGCTGGGTGCCTTCCATGTTACATTTCATTAATCAGATGAAACAGAAATTGAACTTGGTCAGGAATCTCAATGATCCAAGATCTTTAAAAAATAAAAGTTGTTCATTATACCAGGCTGAAGAGGGCAGTGGGATGAGGAAGTGGCATAACAAAACTTGTATTCTTGTTCTCTGCAACAAGAAGACTGTGGAGAAACCTCATGCCCAGCCTCTCTAAGTCCAAGTTAGCCCATCTGTGGATAATAATACTTGCCCTACCCCTAAGGATCATGTAGTATATGGGATGCTGTGGTGTATTGCAACTGACACAGTATAGATCTCACTAAATAGAGAAGGTGTGAATGAATTAATACATGGATAAATGGAAAGACATGGGATGTGGAAAGAGTCGTCCAGGCTGTGAGGTTACCTACTAAATAGCCTTGTGAGTCACTCTCTCACACCCAAGTTTTCTCATCTATGATTTGAGATGTTGATTCTTATCAACTATAAGACATACATTTTTCACTTTGTTAGCATCTCCTATAGGGATGGTGGAGAAGCTCAGCCCTGGGGAAAAATATCCATGAGGCAAAGTGAGTGCAGTGCCTAGGACCCATAATACTTTTAGGAACCCACAAAGTGTGTTTAGTTTATTTCAAAATAAGAAGAAAAAGATAAACTTTTAGGTCAAAAAATCTTGTAATATATAATATTAGTAAGTTAATCTGTATACCAATAGTCATAAAAAGTAATTTTAAATATTTTCTCTGGAAGGGAACCACAAAAGTCATAACACAACCCTGGCTCAGCCCTCCACCTAGCCCAAGGTGATAACCTTGGAAACCTTTTATTGAGACCCTAGCACTTCATAGTACACTACCTAAGAATCACCACACTCTCCTAAGGGTTGTTAGATAAAAGAAGGAGGTAACTTGGTTTGAGTGTCCTCAAGGAGTAGAACACAGACAACTATCAAAGATGCTGCAGAGGAAAGTCCTTGAGTGAAGGTCAGTTTGCATCCCCTTCTAATGCCAATAGCTTATGATCATCAATCAATATTCAATTTGTGTCTTCCTGACTTTCAAACACATATCCTGATATTTCTCCAACTAGATGTTCCTTCTGCAATGAAGGTGAGATGGCAGAGAACCCAACATGAGGTTGAATTATTCCGAGCAAACGTCCCTGGCCTCATGTGTCAATTAAAAGCCATTGAATTTTAGGTCCCCCTCACCTCTGAAATTCTTAAACAAGAAAGATATAAAAAGGAAATAAACTATATGAAGGTGTAGATAATAAATGGTTACATTTTGCAGCAGTGTTCTTACATTTAGAAAACACCAAATCTTTTATGCTAGATTTGTTTCTTTTTTTAATGGTAGAGATTTTAAGCTGCTCAATAAAGTCCATTTTCTCTTCTTCCTAAAAGTCCATTTTCTCTTCTTCCTAAGTACACAACTGGACTACATTTCCCAGCAGCCCTTAGATGTGGCCACATGACTGAGTTTAGCCAATGAGAGATGAGCAGAAAAAGATAAGCGCCACTTCCAGACCTAAACCGTAAAAAAAGCCCCATGCATGGTACTTAATGCTCTTTTTCTCATACAGCTAATGATTGGTTGACAGCATGAAGCAGCAACCCCCACCCATCAGAACTTCTTTTGACTGTTATGTAAGCCAGAAATTATTTTGTTGAGCCATTACATGTTTGGATTTATTTATTTATTGCTGTGATATGGCCTGCCCTAGTTATACAAGCCCTAAACTCAAATTTAACTTTCTTTTAAAACATACGATGAAAAATCAGGTATTAATACATCATTTTTTTAAGTTGCTGAAGCCAGATAATCTGGGCAATAGTCACAGTTGCCTTTTAAATACATGTAGGACAAATGCATTTAAATAATGACCCAGCTGTCCACCAAAATGTAACTTCTAATATAGGACAAATAGAACTTTGAACTTAGTTATGGCCTCTGTGTACGTATTTAATAAACTTTTTTTTTCTGTCTTTGATACTTCCAAGTAGCTTATTTATGTTTTATGAAAATGGTTTCTATAGAGGGAAAAAGAATAAATGATCCCCCAAAATAATATTTCCTTTTTCTGATACCCAATACCACTGTATTACCCCACTTCCTCTCTGGCCAATGAAAATCTGTCCTGCCTACAACCTCCGCTGCCGAAGAAGCTGAAATTAACCCAAGTAAAGCCATTCCCCAGGCTGTCTGGCACTGTCCTATGGCCTGGCAACAAGAGAGGAACTGAACAATCCATGCCTGTCCTTCAAGAATGAGGAGTAGGAAAAGTGAGAGAATTGCTAGTGGAGCCAGATGGTGAAAGGAGGTATCAGATTTTAATTAGGAGATGGCAAGTCCAAACCATGTGCAAGCTAAATTTACGGAGGAATTGGAAGAGCACAGAGGGTGAGAAAGGGCTACACTTGGTAGCAACAGAAGAATAAAGCAGGTGCATGCAAAGATGCAGAGACATAGGAAGAGTCAAAATGAACTTAGCAAGCCCAGTCTCACATCCTAAAAAATTCCCACTTTAAGCTACAGTCCCTTTGCCTTCTCCCAGCAAAATCCCTCCAAGCACTAAGACAACTTGAGAGATTTCATTGCAACCAAAGTACCTCACCAGATTTGCTTCTTGGTACATCCCTGTATGCCCCAAATGCCTAGCCTGTGTATTCCGGTACTAATGATTTTCAGATAAAACAGGTTCCGTTTGATATTCATTTATTCATGTATTCATTTGTATACTTATTTATTCAATAAATAATTGAGTTTGTTGAGCACCTACTCTGTACCAGCTGGGGATATAGCTATGAGCAAGACAGCCAATGTCCATACCCATATGTAACATACATTCTGATAAGTGATAGAAAATTAATAAGTAAGCCAATAAGCAAACAAAAAATTGTAGTAGGTTCTCTGAAAGAAATAATCGGGATGATGCAAGATATTGTTCAAGGGGAGTGGAGAGGAGCTGTACCCAGATGGCCAGGCGAGCCCCTCTAAGGTGATGTTTAAGCAGACAGCTGACCAATGTGAAGGAGCCAGCTATGGGAAGAGCTGGGGGAAGAGTCATCTGTGCCAGAGGGGAAAGGGAGAACAAGGCCAGGCACAGTGGCTCATGCCTGTAATCCCAGCACTTTGGGAGGTCCAGGCAGGCAGATCATTTGAGGTCAGTAGTTCGAGACCAGCCTGGCCAACATGGTGAAACTCCATCTCTACTAAAAATGCAAAAATTAGCTGGGTGTGGTGGCGCGTGCCTGTAATCCCAGCTACTTGGGAAGCTGAGGCGGGAGAATCGCTCGAACCCGAGAGGTGGAGGTTGCAGTGAGCCAAGATCGCGCCACTGCACTCCAGCCTGAGCGACAGAGTGAGACTGTCTGAAAAGCAAAAAAAAAGGAAAACAAAGGTGCTTCAGCTGGAAGGACTCAGAAATGTAACAGAGGTCTACAGTCCGGTAAGTAAAACAAAGATGAGATCAGAAAGACAAAGTACCTGGAAGGGAAACCACCTTGGACCAGGATGGAAGTGTGCAGAAGTGGTATGGTGAAGTGCGATGGAACAAACAAGAACTACACTTAGCAGTCTTTCCATTGGCTATTTCAATTTACACATAAGAGTAGGGTTGTTGTTCCATATTAACACCAATATAGACAGAATCCATTCTTATGGTCGGTGCACATGCCAAACCATTGTTAATTATTTTGAATATTATCCTTGCATCAGAGTCAATTATGTGATAAGCACAGAATTATATACGTGGTGCAGGGGGAAGAAGAGAGGCATAATATGCATCTCTTATCCTCTGCAGTTCACAATCAAATTAGGTAATAGAGAATAAATGAATAACTCAATTATAACACACCAAAGCGTTTCTTGTATTAGAGATAAAAATAATGTGCTTTGAAAATCAGGAGAAGGAAGCATGAGGAATTGAGAAAAGAATCTTACTGGAGGTGAGATCTAACTGGCACATGATGCTGTGATGGGATAATATCGTGCAAGAGAGTGATGTCCATGACCCACAGAGGGGAAAACCTGAGCATGAACACAGAGGCCGAACACCAGGATCTATGTGAGGAGCAATGAATAGAGTGGCATCGAGGGGTGGCAGGAGGGGACACCAAGTGGAGGGTGGGAGGAGAGATAAGGCAAGGAATACTAAACCGGGGCAAGATCAGGAGGGCTATGAATGTCTGCCTCAATTGCAGATTTTTTCTCTTGGCAAAAGCAACCACCTGAGAAGGGCCATAGCATTGTGGTTAAGTACAAACTTTGAATCCCAGCTCCTCCACTTTCCAGCTGTCAGAGCTGGGAAAATCCTTTTATCTAACTTAAGTTTCCTCATCAGTAAAACTGAGAAATACCAAACCTCACAGGGCAGCTGATACTAAGGTAAGATAAATATATTGCCTGGGGTACAGTAAGTACTCAATAAACACTGTGAGTTTTGCTGTTATAGAGGATTTCTGAGGGATGGGGAGTTACATACGCTGTTGTTTTGGAAGTTACTAGTTGAAGTATTAAGGAAGATGGACTGGAGATAGGGGAGGGCCTAGCATCAGGGAAATCATATTTAAATAACAATCTCTATAGCTGAAAAGAATCCTAAATGCCATTTAATTTAACCCTTTCATTTTACAGATAAAGTGAGGCTCAAAGAGAGGGTGTAACTTACTAGAGCCTAGGTATGTGACTCCCTATACAATGAATGCCCTTTCCCTCACACATTTTCTCCCCAGCCTTTTCTATACCCATTATCCATCCAACAACTCAGTCTAAACAAAACAAAATTTACAGTGCATACTGGTTTCAGTGACTTGAGACCTGGAATTTAAGCCAGGCTAGAAGAGGATGCCAGTTTATTGACTCAAAGTAGGGTGACCAGCATTACAAGTCGCCTTTACCCCCTCCCCAGGCGAATATTTGCAAACCTTGAAATCAATGGGCCAGGCGCGGTGGCTCACACCTGTAATCCCAGCACCTTAGGAGGGCGAGGCGGGCAGATCATCTGAGGTCAAGAGTTTGAGACCAGCCTGGCCAACATGGTGAAACCCCATCTCTACTAAAAATACAAAAATTAGTTGAGCAAGACCACACCATTGCACTCCAGCCTGGGCAACAAGGGTGAAACTGTATCCAAAAAAAAAAAAAAAGAAAAAAAAGAAAAGAAATCAATGAATCATTCATATCTAAACCTGAGTCTTATTATAGGGGGCTTGGTCAAAAACAGCCCCTGGACCTGTGGCAGCTCATCTCTGTTTGACACTAATCGCATGTGAATGCTTGAGTTAAGAAGGCATCATTAAAAGTACATTAAGTTTAATTATGCCAGCAGCGTGAGGCAGGGAGATGCTACAGCTTAATGCAGAATGCATAATTAGATAAGACCTAATCCATTAGATTCTTATTTGTTAAGAAAATGTGTCTCATCTATAAGTGTCACCACAAGTGATGTCTGGGAACCCACCTCCCAGATGAGGGCATTTCCACCATCTGTGAGGCCTTTGGCGATAAATATTGCCATGATACACTGACACGAGGATGCTCCCAACTCCTACAAGTGAGCCATCAATGACAGCAGGCTTCAGGATTCCAGGGCAAGGAGCCCAGCTTCCTTCTGTCTCTTGTGTAGTACAAGAGTCCTGGAATAGAAGGCAAGAGGCTTGGGCTCTGTTACCACCTCAGCCACTTTCTAGTTATGTGATACTTGGCTCTTAAGCCTCTGTATGCCTGGGTTTCCTCATCTATAAAATAAATCATTTTAATTATTATAATTGCTTCACAGGGTTGATGTCAGAATTAAGCAAGATAATCCATGTAAAGTGCTTAGAGCAGTGCCTTGAACGTGTTATGTACTCAGTAAATAGCAGTTGCTGTTGCTGTTGTCATCATCATCATTATTGTCACCATTAATCTATAGATAATATTATTATTCCAGATAGTCTATTATTACTTCATCACCACCACTGGGCAAGCAAATCACTTTTCTTCTCTAAGCCTCTGTTCCCTCTTTTATAGAATAAGATGCTATCTCCTAGTCATCTCAAAGGTTCTTTTGTTTTTATTTTGGTTTTGTCTTGTTCTTTGCTGGAAGAGTATCCATATGTTGATAAGACTCTCAATGGGCTCCCCAAAATGTTAAGAACAACTGTACATTTTATGTTTGGGAGTCACTACTCCTTTGAGATCTGATAAAGGAAAATAAATCCCCAATGCAGAAAACACACACATACACACATTCACACATACATGCATGCACGCACAAAATTTCAATTTTAAGAAGATTGTGGGACCTGCCTGAAATCCATTTGTTGTTCCCACAGGTGTCCACAAATGCCAGGCTCAGAAGCTCTGCTCTGAAGTTCCCTTTTAGCTGCCTACCTCTGTGAGCCATAAGGCTCCCATGTCCTATCTGTGAAATGGAGCTAACAAACCCTGCTGAACATCCTATACTATTCACAAGTGCAGACAGCAGAGCATGATGATGAAGTCTCTGCAGTCAGAATTCAAACTCCAGCTCTGCTTCCTGTGAGCTGTGTATTCTTGGGCAAGTACTTTGATCTCTCTCTTTCTCACTTTCTTCTTCTGATCACTGGAAAATTTAAATGAGATAGTGGATGAGAAGGACAGAGATCCAGCACATAGTAAACCCTGAGGAGATTTTGGCCACATTATTGTCATTATTTTTAAAAAACCTGTGAGGACACATAATCTAATCTTTTTATTTTATAGATGATAAATTTGAGACCTAAAGAAACATTCAGAGAACAAAGATTCAGCACCAGGCACAATGAAAGGACATTCAAAAAATCATGGAAAAAAAAAAAAAAACATGTTGGGCGTGGTGGCTCACACCTGTAATCCCAGCACTTTGGGAGGCTGAGATGGGTGGATAACCTGAGGTTAGGAGTTGAAGACCAGCCTGGCCAGCATGGTTAAACCTTCCCTCTACTAAAAAAACACAAAAAATTAGCTAGGCATTTTGGCACAAGCCTGTAGTACCAGCTACTCAGGAGGCGGAGGCAGGAGAATTGCTTGAACCTGGGAGGCAGAGGTTGCAGTGAGCCAAGATTGCACCACTGCACTCCAGCCTGGGCAACAGAGCAAGACTCCCTCTCAAAAAAAAATATACGTAGATATATAATATATATAATATTATATGTATATTTTATATATTATATAATATAATGTACCTATTTTATATATAATATAAATATCTTATATATAATATATTTTATATATAATATATAATAACATACATTTTTATATATAATATATTATATATACTTTGTAAATATTATATATATTTATATACTATATAAATATATATAGTATACATACTAAATACATATATAGTATATAAATATATATACTATATAAATATATAGTATATAACATATAGTATATATGTATACAAATATATAGTATATATTATATATAATATATATTATATACTATATATAATACTAGTATTATATATTATATTATATTATATATAATATAATATATATTATAATTATATTATATATAATTATATGTTATATATTATAATTATATAATATATTATTATATTATTATAATATATAATATATATTATATTATATATTATATAATTATATAGTAATTATATAATATATATTATATATTATATTATATATAATATATATTATATATTATATTATATATAATATATATTATATATATAATATATAATATATATTATATATATATTATATAATATATATTATATATATATTATATAATATAGTATATAGTATATAAATATATATAATATATATAATTATATAATTATATACTATATATAGAGTATATATATATAAAAAACAAAAAAGAAAGCCTCTGGACATGTGGAAATTTAAACGCACACATACAGAGAGCTGGAGCTGCACTAGGATGCCAGGGCTCAGGGCAAACCGACAGTAGCAGTCACCAAGGCCAATCACACTGCTCGGAGACCATAAAGGAAGCAGTCACTGGAAAAGCATTGCCTGGTAAGTAAAGTGTATGCTGAAGCCCACAGTCAGGCAGGACTGGCTGTGGAAAGGGGTTGGCTGTCTGGGTTTGATACAGCTCTCTCCCTGGGCTGGAAACCTCTCATCCCAAACCTCTCATCCCACAGCCACTGGTCCCCATCCAAAAGTTGGTCCCCATCCAAAAGTTCAGCTGGGCCAAGTGCATTTTCCATGCTAAAGCCCAGCAGGGAAGGGGTCTGAACCACAACAAGATACAATTAAAAGTCAAAGCATCAAGTGCTTTAAAAAAAAAAAAAAAAAAAAAAAAAAGCCTTTTAAGCAGTTGCCGTGACAGAAATATCAAGGACCCCAGAAATTTTCAAAAAAAAGGAAAACCAGATCAGCACCCTCTGGGGTTTCAAGCTCCTCACCTCAAGAGTCAAGTCAAGGGGAGATGAAAGGAAAGCAGGTCGGCACAGACAAAGCACGTCCAGGTTTGATGCCCACCAGTAAGTACAGCAGGGTATTTCTCATCATAGGCTTGGAGCCAGATGACCTGTGTTCAAATTCAAGTTTCTCCACTGTACAAGTTACATAGTCACTTTAATCCTCAAGTGGCTCAACTGTGAATTGGGGAGAATGATGGAACCTGCTTTCAAAATTGATCATGCTCTTAAAACACAGGATCTGCTAAAAAGTAGTGTATAAACAATTACTTCTTAAAATTTTTAAAAATAAATTAATAAACAAAAATCCTTGTATCCTGGCAGCCTTCCATCTTAGAGTCCTCAGAGTCCATCCTCAGAACACCAAAATATCACTATCTGATGATCAGAGATGTTTGCTTAAAGAAACTAGAATTCTTAAACCTTAAGCCTTTGTCCACTTGTTCTGGCTTCCGCAAGTACTATGATTTTTTTTTTTTTTTGGAAGCAATTTCTCAGCCTGCCTAGGAGAGTGATTCTCACCTGTCTCAGTTAAATAAAATATCATTTCCATTTCTTTTTTTTTTTTTTTTTTTTTTTGAGACGGAGTCTCGCTCGTTGGCCCAGGCTGTAGTGCAGTGGCATGATCTTGGCTCGCTGCAACCTCTGCCTCCCAGGTTCAAGCGATTCTTCTGCCTCATCCTCCTGAGTAGCTGGGATTACAGGCACGCACCAACATACCTGGATAATTTTTGTATTTTTAGTAGAGACAGGGTTTCACCATGTTGTTCAGGCTGGTCTGGAACTCCTGACCTCGTGATCCGCCCGCCTCGGCCTCCCAAAGTGCTGCAATTACAGGCATGACCCACCACATCCAGCCAAAACATCATTTCTTATACAGGGTCTAACAATTCCTGTTACGTTAAGGTGCATTTTCAGGGAGAATTGATTAGGAGTTCTAGGATCTCATGAAGAAATAAGCTTAAGAAAAGCTGTGTTAAATAAAGAAAATGTTTCCGTACTTCAGGTCTTCTCAGGGCCTTTATAACATGTATTGACATATTTGAGGGGAGGGTCTTTCCTCCCTGACTATTTCTTTCTATTCTCTTTGAGCACCCTCCTTCTCTACCTCTCACATCAGTGCTGTTGGCCCTGATTATGAATTTTCTTTCATCTATATACTCTCTCCCTAGGTGATCTCAAATAATCCTGTGACTTTAAATGCCACTATAAGATGACAACACTCAAAAGTCAACCTCCTGCTCTGAGCACTTGCTCCCAATCTGATTTTGGATCAACAGGCCCTCTTTGATGTCTTATTTGTGGATGCATCACACGTAACCAGTCCAAAGCAGAATTCTTGACCCCACCCTCCAACCCCATCCAGTTCCTTCCTAGTCTTCCCCATCTCAGTAAATGGTACTACTATGTACCTAGTTTTTCAAGCCAATATCTTGGGAGCCATTCTCTGTTTTTTTTCACATGTACATCCACTTTATTGCAAATTTTGCAAACTTTTTTCCTCCAAAATTATCTCAGTTAGGTCACTATTGCCACTGCCATCGTCTAATCCACACAATCATCTCCTCCCTAGCCACTGTGATAGCCTTTTCACAGCCCTTCGAGATCCCACACTTGTTATTTCCAATTCAGTCCCTACACAGCATCAAGTGATGAGCCAAGAATGTGTCAATCTTCTGTGTAAACCTTCAATACCTCCCCACTACCCTCAAGATAAGGTCCAAATATCTCACTGTTTCTTTATTTTATTTATTTATTTATATTTATTTATTTATTTTGAGATGAAATTTTGTTCTTGTCACCCAGACTGTAGTGCAGTGGCATGATCTCGGCTCACTGCAACCTCCGCCTCCAGGGTTCAGGTGATTCTCTTGCCTCAGTCTCCTGAGTAGCTGGGATTATAGGCACCCGCCATCACACCTAGCTAATTTTTATATTTTTAGTAGAGACAGGGTTTTGCCATGTTGGTCAGGCTGGTCTTGAACTCCTGACCTCAGGCGATCTACCTGCCTTGGCCTCCCAAAGTGCTGGGATTACAGGCATGAGCCACTGCACCCAGCCCAAATACCTCACTGTTTCTTATTAGGCCTTTCCTGAGCTGCCTCATGCTCACCTCTTCAACATCCTTTCTTATCAGATCCCATTAAAGCACATGTTTCATCCATATTAAATCATCTTTTGGTTTCCTCAAATAAACCCCATTCACTATCTCTTCCATCTACTTAAACACTTTCCTTCTCCCTCCTGTCATCTTGTCCCTTTGAATCTTAACCTGAACACCTTTTCCTGCAGCAAGTCTGTGATTCACACAACCTATTCCAAATAGATTGGGTACCTTTCTACTACATTCCCACATCCCCTGGTATTTTTCTAATCAAAGATTTTTTGTAGTTACTTGAGCATTATGCGCCTTCTCTCATCACACATTTGCAGGACAGGAACTACATCATGCATCACATAGTGACAGTTTGGTCAGTGATGGATGGCATATAGGACAGTGGTTTCTTAAGATTATAATGCCATATTTTTACTGTACTTTTCCTATGTTTAGATACACAAGTGCTTACCATTGTGTCACAATTGCCTACAGTGTTCAGTACAGTAACATGTTGCAGCCTATTCCATATAGCCTAGGTGTATAGTAGGCTCTACTATCTAGATTTGTGTAGGTACACTCCATGATGTTTTACAATAATAAAATCACCTAACAATGCATTTGTCAGAATGTATCCCCAAAGTTAAGTAACATATGACTAAATATTGTTTTCATATTGGTAATCTCATTGTCTAGAACAATACATGGCACAGAGTAGAGGCTCCTTAGGTGTCATAAGGAATTGTGAGAAGGAAGAAGAGAGCAATGAAAGCTGTCTAGGAAAGAGAGAGAGCAAAAGCAAAGGTTAGGATGAAGACATGAACACCATGAGAGTGGAGATGATGATAACACTTTGTGGGCTGAGATGATGTTGGCTGTGTAGAAAAGGGCTAGATACAAGATGCCTATAGATACCAGCCCTAGGAGCAATAACACTGCCATACATAGTCCAATGCATACTATATATAACAAGATGGGATCAAAAGAAGGCTTGGCTGGGAGCCTAATGATGGATTCAAGTCCTTTACTCTTCTTTTAACTAGTTCGATGACCATTCCTTGAAGTTCAATTTTCTCACTTGTAAAGAGGGTTTAGACTAGGTGTCTTTTAAGTGTCCTTTTTAAAACCTACATTCTGTGCCACAACAGACTATTTGCCAAACATTTTTCATAGCGTCGACTTAGTTCATGCTTTTTTTTTAACATATCCTTAGTCCTACTTTCTGATGAACACTTACACATTTTTCAATATCTAGTTCAAATAACATCTTCTCTGAGAAACCTAACTTATCCCTGGGGTGAGTTAATTCTTTCTCCACGTAGTCTTTGATATAGTTTGGATATTTGTTCCCTCCAAATCTCATATTGAAATGTGATCCCCAATGTTGGAGGTGGGGCCGATCTTGGAAGTTTCAGTCATAGGGGTGGATCCCTCATGAATGGCTTGGTTCTCTCCTTGTGGTAATGAGTGCATGTGAGATCTGGTTGCTAAAAAGAGTCTGGAATCTCCCTCTTCTCTCTCTTCCTTTCTCCCTTGCCATGTGACATGCTTGCTCACCCTTCACCTTCCCCCATGAGTAAAAGCTTCCTGAGGTCCTGACCAGAAGCAGATGCTAGTGCCAGGCTTCTTGTACAGCCTGTAGAACTGTGAGCCAAATAAACCTCTTTTCTTTACAAATTATCCAGTCTCAGGTATTTCTTTATAGCAATGCAAAACAGAGTAACACAGTACCATCATAAAAAATATACACATGCTTTTTTTTAGCACTTCCCACATTATAACTCTTTCTATAATGTGACTGTATCCATAATACTTCATACACATAAAAATAATGGCCAAGGACTTCTGGATTTCAATAATGGCAGAGCAGCTTGTGTGACACTAACTCCCAGGTGGTAACAATTATAAACTCTGGCTAAATACCTTTAAACAACTGTTTGAAAACTCTAAAGAGCAAGCAAGAACAAGCAGAAACTGGAAGCGATTTAAATCTTGAAGGATGAGACCCTTATAGCTAAAATCCACAATGAGTAGCATTTTACCTTCTAGGCATTTTCCAGTCCATGTAGTAAGATGTTGGTGGATAGAATTCAAGCAGAAAGCTCTGGTCTTATTGACCTGAGGGGTCTGAGGAGAGAGTTTAAGGAAAATAGCCCCTGAAAGGCTAAAAGGGCAGAAGGGAAATCCAAGCAGTTGTGCACCACAGGAGAAACAGTTTGGAATTCTCATTTCACCAAGTTATAAGGTTTTGGTAAACATCTCAGACTTTTCCTTGAAATTTCAAAAGGGCCATGCCTTAAGAGGAAAGATCATATCCCAAGGCTAAAAGATTCACCCTAGTACTAGGAATAAACCCAAAATAGATCCCCTCAAGCAAAGCATAAAATGAAACCTTTCAAAGGTCAAAGTGCCCTGGCAGTAATTTAACTCCCTGATAAAATAAAACTGAATTATCTTCATAGGAAGATAACAGAATACAGAATCTGGAAAACATATCATCTCAAATCTCTAGGATACAACAGTAAAATTATTAGAAAGGAGAAGAAACTGGGAAAGAGATCCACAAATGACCACAAATCTTGGAGTTCTTCGGAGAATCAGACCCAATAGAAGATATAGATATATAGATATAGATGATATGGGTAGACATAGATATATAGAGATCTATTATAAGGAATTGACTCACATTAGCATGAAAACTGGCCAGTCTCAAGATCTACAACATGAGGTGGTAAGCTGGAGACCCAGGAAAGCCAAATGATTTCATTCCAGTCTGAGTCTGAAGGCCTGAGAACCAGGAAAGCTGATGGTGTAGTTCCAGTCTGAAGGCTAGTGGGCTCAGAACAGCCAATGTTTCTGTTCAAGTCCAAAGGCAGATAAAAGCTGATGTTCCAGTTTGAAGGTCATCAAGCAGGAAGAATTCTGTCTTACTCAAGGAAGGGTTAGGTTTTTGTTCTATTCAGTTCTTCAACTAATTGAATGAGGTCCAACCTCATTAAGGAGGACAATCTGATTTACTCAGTGTATTGATTTAAATGTTAATCACATCCAAAAACACCTTCACAGTAACACCCAGAATAATATTTGACCAAATATCTGGGCACCCCATAGTCCAATCAAGTTGATACATGAAACTAATCATCACAGATGCAGAAAAGGAATATAACAAATAAAGAGTTATTTTTAAAAAACAGTGATAAATATGTTTTTGAGATCCATAGGATAAGATATATTAATAATTGAAGAGTTATGGAATTTCAGGACAGATATGTAAACTCTAAAAGGAGAATGAAAGAGGCATCCTACAACAGTAAAACATAATATCAGAAATAAGAATTAATTTGGATGAGCTTGATAGCAGACTAGACAATACAGTAAAATGGATTAGTAAACTTGAAATAAGGTCAATAAAAATCATCCAAACTGAAGCACAGAGAGAAAATATATTGAAAGAAATCTTGATGATATTTGATGGTCTGTGGAGCAATATCAAATGGTGTAATCAGAACCTAAAAGGAGGCTAGAGAGAATGAGACAGAAAAAAAAACTGATGATATAATAGCCAAACTATTTCCAAAGTTAATCTAAACAATATTTCACATATCTAGGAGGTTCAGCAAAACACAGGCAAGGTTTTTTTCAACTCTAGGTAGAGCACAAACATCTGAAAACCGAAGATAAAGAAATAATCTTGAAGAGAGCTACAGAAAATGAACACACAAAACACAAGGAAATGCTAATAAAAATGATGACTGAGTTCTCACAGAAATATGGAGACCAGAATAAATGGGTAAAAAACATCTTTAAAGTGCTGGAAAAGAAAACTGCCATCGCAAAATTTTATATACCATAAAAAATACCTTTCAAAAATGAGAGCAAAATAAAGACATTTTCTGATAAATGAAAACAGAGAATTTGAGGCTAGCACAGCCACACTAAAAGAAATACGAAAGGAATTTCTTCAGGCTGAATTTAAATGACACCAGATGGAAATATTGATGTATAGGAAATGATAAAGAGGAGTGAGAACTGTACATATATAAGTAACTTTAAAATATTATTTCTATTTCTTTTTTAACATTTTAAGTCTGACTTTTTAAAGCATGAATAATGACAATGTACTGTGGAGTTTATAACATATGTATCAGTAAAATACATGACAAAAATAGAACAAAAGATGGAAGTTAGGTAAATTAAAGTATCCTTTTGTAAATTTCTTACATTAAATGTAAAGTGGTATAGTAGCAATTCAAATAACACTGTTACAAATTAAGGAAAGACTGTAATCCCTTTAGCAAACACTGAAAATATAATACAGATTTAGGTCTTTAAAAAATAGAGGGCATAGAATGTAATAACATAAAATATTCAGTGGGAAAGAAAATGGGAAAGGAGAAACAATGAACAGAGAGAATGAGAAGAAATAGTAATATGATAAATTTAAATCTATGCATATGAATAATTGTATCATGTACAATTGAATTAAATGCTCCAATTAAATGGCAGACATTGTCATACTTGATAAAAAGCAACAATTATTTTATACTCATTTTAAATATAAAACAGACAGGCTGAAAATGAAAAGAAGAGAAATGTACCACACAACTGGTAAGCATAAGAAAGCAAGTATGAGTTGTATTAATATCGAACAGACTTCATGTCAACAAGCATTAACAGAGATTATCAGATACATTTCAGAGGGATAAAAGCACCAATTCTTCAAGAAGACATATAATCATAAATGTACACTCACCTAATAACAAACTTTCAATATCTGTGAAACAAAATTGAGAGCAGTAAAAGAAGTTAGACAATTTTATCATCATAGTAGATATTAACACCCACTCACAGTAATTGATAGAGCGAGTAGCCCAAAATATCAGTAAGGATACAGTATATTTGAACAACATATTTAACCAATTTCAACTACTTATATTTAAAGAACACTACACCCAAAAACATTAAAACACACATACTTTTTAAATTTTTTAAATTTATTTTTTAATTGATGCATTGTAATGGTAAATATTTAAGGGGTATGATTTGATGTTTTGAGACCTATATGTTATATAATGATCCAATCAGGCTGGTTAGTATATCCATCAGCTCATGCATTTATCCTTTCTTTGTGGTGAGAACATTCAAGAGCCTCTCTTCTAGCTATTTTGTAATACAAAATAATTTACTGTCTACCACAGTCACTACTGTGAACTCCAGAACACCAGAATTTATTCCTCCTAACTAATTGTAACTTTGTACCCATTGACAAACCTCTCCCCATTCTCTCCTTCCGCTCTCCCTCTCCAATCTCTAGTAACCACTGTTCTACTTTTTGCTTCTATGATATATTAACTTTTTTTTTAAGATTCCACATATGAGTGAGATCATACAGTATTTCTCTTTCTGTGTCTGGCTTATTTCACTTAATATGATGTCTTCCAGCTTCATCCATATTGTTCCAAATGACAAGATTTTATTTTGTGGCTGAGTATATATCATGTTTTATTTATCCATTCATCCATTGTTGGACAGTTTGGTTGATTCCATATCTTGGCTATTGTAAATAGCACTGCAATAAGCATGGCAGTGCAGGTATATGTTCTACATACTTTCATTTCTTCTGGATATATATTCAACAGTTGGATTGCTGGATAATAGGGTAGTTTCATCTTTTGTTTATTGATGAACCTCCATATGGTTGTCCATAATGGCTGTACTAGTTTACAATCCGGCAACAGTGTGTAAGTGTTCCCTTTTCTTCACAGCCTAGCCAATACTTGTTTTCTTTTGTCTTTCTAATAACAGCCATTCTAACTGGACTAAGGTGGTATCTCACTGTGGTTTTGATTTTCATTTCCCTGATGATTAGTGATGTTGAATATTTTTTCACGTTTGTTGGCCATTTGTATGTCCTCTTTTGAGAAATGTCTGTTAAGGTCTTTTGCCCATTTTTTATGAAAGAGAATCATTTTTTTATTTTTTAACTTTTATTTTAAGTTCAGGGGTACATTTGCAGGTTTGTTATATAGGTAAACATGTGTCATGGGTATTTGTTGTACACATTATTTTGTCAACCAGATATTAAGCCTAGTACCCTTTAGTTATTTTTCCTGATCCTCCCTTTCTTCCCACACTCCACCATCCAACAGGCCCCAGTGTGTGTTGTTCCCCTCTGTGTCTCCATGTGTTCTCATCATTTAGCTCCCCCTTTATTTTTTATTTTTCTTTTTTTTTTTTTTATTTTTTGAGAAGGAGTCTTGCTGTCGCCCAGGCGGGAGTGCAGTGGCGCGATGTCGGCTCACTGCAAGCTCCGCCTCCCGGGTTCACGCCATTCTCTTGCCTCAGCCTCGCGAGTAGCCGGGACTACAGGCACCCGCCAACAAGCCCGGCTAATTTTTTGTATAAGTGACGCATGTGGTATTTGCTTTTCTGTTACTGCATTAGTTTGCTAAGGATAATGGCCTCCAGCTACATCCATATTCCTGCAAAGGATATGATCTCATTCTTTTTAATGGCTGCATAGTATCTCATGATGTGTATGTACCACATTTTCTTTATCCAGTCTATTGATGGGTATTTAGGTTGATTCCATGTCTTCACTATTGTGAATAGTGCTGCAACAAACAAACATGTGCATGTGTCTTTAAAACAGAATGATTTATAATCCTTTAGGTATATGTCCAGTATTGGGATTGCTGGGTCAAATAGTATTTCTGTCTTTAGTCTTTGAGGAATCACCACACTGTCTTCCACAACGATTGAACTAATTTACACTCCCACCAACAGTGTGTTAAGTATTCCTTTTGCTCTGCAGCCTTGCCAGCATCTGTTATTTTTTGACTTTTTAATAACAGCCATTCTGAATAGTGTGAAACGGTATCTCATTGTGGTTTTGATTTGCGTTTCTCTAACGATCAGTGATGTTGAGTTTTTCATATGATGGTTGGCTGCATGTATGTCCTTTTGAAAAGTGTCTGTTCATGTCATTTGGTTGCTTTTTAACAACCAAATGGGGTTGTTAATGGGGTTGTTTGGTTTTTTTCTTGTAAATTTCATTAAGTTCCTTATAGGTGCTGGCTATTTGTCAGATGCATAGTTTGCAAAAATTTTCTCCCATTCTGTAGGTTGTCTGCTCAATCTGTTGATAGTTTCCTTTGCTGTGCAGAAGCTCTTTAATTTAATTAGATCCCATTTGTCAATTTTTGCTTTTTTTACAATTGCTTTTGACATCTTCATCATGAAATCTTTGCCTGTTCCTATGTCCTGAATGGTATCATCTAGGTTGTCTTCCAATGTTTTTATAGTTTGGAGTTTTACATATAAGTCTTTAATCCATCTTGAGTTAATTGTTGTATATGGTATAAGGAAGGGGTCTAGTTTCAATCTTCTGCATATAGCTAGTCAGCTATCCCAGCATCATTTATTAAATAGAGAATTATTTCCCTATTGCTTGTTTTTCTCAGCTTTGCAGAAGATCAGACAGTTGTAGGTTTGCGGCCTTATTTCTGGGTTCTCTATTCTGTTCCATTGGTCTATGTGTCTGTTTTTGTGCCAGTACCAGGCTGTTTTGGTTACTGTAGCCCTACAGTAAGTTTGAAGCTAGGTAGCATGATGCCTCCAACTTCTTTCTTTTTGCTTAGGATTTCCTTGGCTATTTGGGCTCTTTTTGGTGCCATATGAATTTTAAAATAGTTTGTTTTTTTAGTTCTGTGAAGAATCTCAGTGGAAGTTCAATAGGAATATCATTGAATCTATAAATTGCTTAGGGTAATGTGGCAATTTTAATGATATTGATTACTCCTATCCATGAGCATGAAATGTTTTTCCATTTGCTTGTGTCATCTATGGTTTCTTTGAGTAGTGTTTTGTAGTTCTTCTTATAGAGATCTTTCACCTCCCAAGTTAGCTGTATTCCTAGGCATTTTACTCTTTTTGTGGCAATTGTGAATAGGATTGCATTCCTTATTTGGCTCTTGGCTTGACTGTTATTGGTGTATAGGAATGCTAGTGATGTTTGCACATTGATTTTGTATCCTGAGACTTTGCTGAAGTTGTTTATCAGTTTAAGAAGCTTTCGGGCTGAGACTGTGGGGGTTTCTAGATATAGAACAAACAAACAGGGATAATTTGACTTCCTCTCTTCCTATTTGGATGTCCTTCATTTCTTTCTCTTGCCTGATTGTCTGGGCCAGGACTTCCAATACTGTGTTGAACAGGAGTGGTGAGAGAGGGCATCCTTGTCTTGTGCCAGTTTTCAAAAGGAATGCTTCCAGCTTCTGCCCATTCAGTATGATGTTGACTGTGGGTTTGTCATAGATGACTCATTATTTTGAGGTATGTTTCTTCAATATCTAGTTTATTGAGAGTTTTTAACATGAAGGGGTGTTGAACTTTTCAAAAGCCTTTTCTGCATCTATTGTGACAATCGCGTGGTTTTTGACATAAGTGCTATTTATGTGATGAATCACATTTATTGATTTGCATATGTTGAATCAACCTTGTATCCTGGGGATAAAACCTATTCAATCATAGTGGGTAAGATTTTTGAGGTGCTGCTGGATTCGGTTTGCCAGTATTTTGTAGAGGCGTTTTGCAACAGTGTTTATCAAGGTTATTGGCTTGAAGTTTTCTTTTTTTGTTGTATCTCTGCCAGGTTTTGGTATTAGGATGATGCTGGCCTCATAGAGTGAGTTAGAGAGGAGTCCCTCCTTGTCAAATTTTTGGAATAGTTTTAGCAGGAATGGTACCAGCTCTTCTATGTACATCTGGCAGAATATAGCTGTGAATCCGTCTGGTCCTGCACTTTTTTTAGTTGGTAAGCTATTTATCACTGACTCGATTTCAAAGCTTGTTATTGATCTATTCAGGGATTCAATTTCTTCCTGGTTCAGTCTTGCAAGGGTGTGTGTGTCCAGGAATTTATCCATTTCTTCTAGATTTTCTAGTTTATGTGCATAGAGGTGTTCCTAATATTCTCTGATGGTTGTTTTTATTTCTGTGAGGTCAGTGGTAATATCCCCCTTACCATTTCTTATTGTGTTTATTTGAATCTCCTTTTTTTTATTAGTCTAGCCAGCAGTCTACCTATTTTATTAATTTTTTCAAAAACCCAGCTCCCAAATTCATTCATCTCTTGAGTGGTTTTTTTTGTCTCAATCTCCTTTAGCTCAGCTCTGATTTTGGTTATTTCTTGTCTTCTGCTAGCCTTCGGGTTTGTTTGCTCTTGGTTCTCTAGTTCTTTTAATTATGATGTTAGAGTGTTAGCTTGAGATCTTTCTAATTTTTTGATTTGGGCATTTGGTGCTATAAATTTCCCTCTTTAACACTGCCTTAGATGTGTCCCAGAGCTTCTGGTATGCCATATCTTTGCTCTCATTAGTTTCAGAGAACTTCTTGATTTTGCCTATGTTAGTCAGGGTTCTTTAGGGTGACAGAACTAATGGGATAGATTTCTACATGAAGGGGAGTTTATTAAGGAGTATCAGTTCACACGATTACAAGGTGAAGTCCCACAATAGGCCATCTGCAAACTGAGGAACAAGGAAGCCAGCCGGAGTCTCAAAACCTCGAAAGTAGGAAAGCCAACAGTGCAGCCTTCAGTCTGTGGCCAAAGGCCAGAAAGCCCATGGCAAATCATTGGTATAAGTCCAACAGTCCAAAAGCTGAAGAACTTGGAGTCTGATGTTTGAGGGCAGGAAGCATCCAGTATGGGAGAAAGATGGAAGCTGAAGACTCAGCAAGTCTAGTCCTTCCATTTTCTTCTGCCTGCTTTATTCTAGCCGTGCTGGCAGTACAGCTAGATGATGATGATGATGATGATTATTATTATTATTATTATTAGATTGTGCCCACCCAGATTGAGGGTGGGTCTGCCTCTCCTAGTCCACTGACTCAAATGTTAATCTCCTTTGGCAATACCCTCACAGACAGACCCAGGAACAATACTTTGCGTCTTTCAATCCAGTCAAGTTGACACTCAATATTAACCATCACACTGCCTTAATTTCATTATTTACCCAAAAGTCATTCATGAGCAGGTTATTTAATTGCCATGTAATTGTATGGTTTTGAGCAAATTTCTTAGTCTTGATTTCTAATTTGATAGTGCTGTGAAGAGACTTTCTCCTCCCCAACCCCACAGTGTGTGTTCTTGACGCCTTTGTCAAAACTCAGTTGGCTATAGATATGTGAATTTATTTCTGGCCACACTATCCTTTTTCTTTGGTTGGTCTCTGTTTTTTATGCCAAAACAATGCTGTTTGGGTTACTATAATTTTGTAGTATATTTTGAAGTCAGTTAGTGTTATGCCTCCAGCTTTGTTCCTTTTGTTCAGTATCACTTTGGCTGTTTGGGTCTTTTGTGTTTGCATATACATTTTAGAATTATTTTTTTCTATTTTATTTCAGAATGTCATTTTTATTTTGATACAAATTGCATTGAATCTATAAACTGCTTTGAGTATAATTGCCATTTTAACAATATTAATTCTTGCATTCCGTGACCATAGAATATCTTTCCATTTGTTTGTGTCCTCTTCAATTTCTTTAATCAATGTTTTATAGTTTTCCTGGTATAGATCTTTTATTTCTTTTGCTAGAGTGAGCCCTAAGTATTTTATATTCTTTGTAGCTATTATAAATGGGATTGTGTTTTCATTTCTTTTTCAGATAATTTACAGTTGGACTGTAGAAATGCTACTGATTTTTACAAGTTTATTTTGTGCCCTGCAACTTTACTGGACTTGTTTATCAATTCTGACAGTTTTTTTAAATAATGTCTTTAGGTTTTTCTATGTATAAGATTATATTGTCAGCTGGGCTCAGTGGCTCATGCCTATAATCCCAACAGTTTGGAAGTTCAAGATGGATGGATCACTTGAGGTCAGGAGTCCAAGACCAGGCTGGCCAACATGCTGAAACTCTGTTTCTACTAAAAATACAAAAATTAGCCAGGTATGTTGGTGTGTGCCTGTAAGCCTGTAATTCCAGCTACTTGGGAGGCTGAGGCAGGAGAATCGCTTGAACCCGGAAGGCAGAGGTTGCAGTGAGCCAAGACCATGCCACTGCACTCCAGCCTGTGCAACAGAGCAAGACTCCGTCTCAAAAAACAAACAAACCAAAAAAAAATAGATTATATTGTTTGTGAACAAGGCTAATTTGACTTCTTTCTTTTCAATTTGGATGCTCTTTATTTCTTACTCTTGCAGAATTGCTCTGCCCAGGACTTCCAGTATTGTATTAATTTTCTCCATTTAGTATAATGCTAGCTGTGGGTTTGTCATATATGTTTGTTGTTGTTGTTTTTTTTTTTTTTTGTGGAGTGCAGTGGTACAATCTCGGCTCACTGCAAACTCCGCCTCCTGGGTTCAGGTGATTCTCTTGCCTCAGCCTCCCCAGTAGCTGGGATTACAGACACGTGCCACCATGCTCAGCTAATTTTTGTATTTTTAGTAGAGACAGGGTTTCACTATGTTGGCCAGGCTGGTCTCAAACTCCTGACCTCAAGTGATCCTCCCGCCTTGGCCTCCCAAAGTGCTGGGATTACAGGCATGAGCCACCATGCCCAGCCATACATGATTTTTTTTATTTTGAAGTATGTTCCTCTATACCCAGTTTGATGAGGATTTTTATCGTAAAAGGATGATGAGTTTTATCAAATGCTCTTCGGCGTCTGTTGAAATGATCATATAGTTTTTGTTCTTGGTTCTGTGAATGTGATGTATTACATTTTTTGGTTTGCGTATGTTGAACCATCCTTGCATCCCTGGGATGAATCCTACTTCATCATGCTGAATAAACTTCTTATTGAGTTGTTGAATTTTGTTTGCTAGTATTTTGTTGAGGATTTTTGCATCTATGTTTATCAGTGATAATGGCCTGTAGTTTTCTTTTTTGTTGTTGTATCTTTGTCTGGTTTTCGTATCAGAGTAATGCTGGTTTTATACAATAAGTTCGAAAATATTCCCTCCTCTTCAATTTTTTCAGAGTTTGAGTGGGATTGGTATTAGTTCTTCTTTAAATATTTGGAAAAATACAGCAGGAAGACATCAAGTTCCAAACTTTTCTTTGATAGAAGACTTGTTATGATGGCTTCAATCCCATGACTCATTTTTGGTTTGTTGAGATTTTCTGTTTTTTCATGGTTCAATCCTGGTAGATTGTATATATCTAGGAATTTATACATTTTATTCTAGGTTTTCCCATGTGTGGGCTGATTGCTGTTCACAATAATCTCTAATGATTCTTTGTACTTCTGTGGTGTCAGTTGTTATGTCTCCTTTTTCATTTGTGATTTTGTTTATTTGAGCCTCCTTCCTTTTTTTCTTAGTCTAGCTAAAGGTTTGTTCATTTTGTTTATCTTTGCAAAAAACCAACTTTTCATTTTGTTGATTTGTATTTTTTTAAGTCTTAATTTCATTTATTCCTGCTCTGATCTTTATTTTTTTCCTTTTACTAATTTTGGATTTGTTTTGTTATTAGTTTTCCAGTTCCTCAAGGTGAATCATTAGGTTGTTTATTTAATGTCTTCCTACTATTTTCATATAGTAATTTATTGCTGTAAAGTTATCTTTTAGTACCAGTTTTGCTATACCTTATAGATTTTGGTATGTCATATTTTCATTTTCATTTGTTTTAAGGACTTGTTTAATTACCTTTTTAATTTCTTCATTGACTCATTTGTCATCCAGGAGCGTGTTATTTAATTTCCATGTATTTGTTTATTTTCCAAGGTTTCTCTTCTTATTGATTTCTATTTTTATTCCATTATAGTCAAAAAGCTACTTGATATTATCTCTACATTTCTTAATTTGTTGAGACTTGTTCTGTGGCCTAAGATATGGTTTATTCTGGAGAATATTCCATGTGCTAATAAAAAGAATGTGTATTCTGTGGCAGTTGGGTGAAAAGTTCCATAAATATTAGGCCTATTATGTCTAGTGTGTAGCTTAACTCTGATATTTCTTTGTTTGTTTTCTGTCTGATGACCTGCCCATTAATGAGAATACTATGTTGGGGTTTCCAACTACTCTTATATTGCAGTCCATCACTGTTTTTAGATCTATTAATGTTTGGTTTATATACTTGGAAGCTCTATTGTTGGGTACACAGATATTTGTAATTGTTATATTCTCTTGCTGAGCTACTCCTTTTATCATTACATAATGACATTTTTTGTCTCATTTTACAGTCTTTGATTTGTAGTCTATTTAATCTGACATAAGTATAGCTGCATCTGATTTTTTTCGTTTCCATTTACATGAAATATCTTTTTCCACCCCTTCACTTTTAGTCTATGTATGCCTTTATAGGTGAAGTGGGTTTCTTGTAGGCAGTACACAGTTGTATATGGTCTCTTTTCCCATTCAGTTACTCTATGCTTTTTAATGGGAGACTCGAGTCTGTTTCTATTCAATATCATTATTAATAAGTAAGGACTTACTACTGCCATTTTGTTGCTTGTTTTCTGGTTATTTTGTAATTTTCTTCCTTCCTTCCTTCCTTCTTTCCTTCTTTCCTTCTTTCCTTCTTTCCTTTTTTCCTTTGTGGTTAAGCAATTTTCTCTGGTAATATTTTTAATTCATCACTTTTTATTTTTAGTAAATCTGTTACAGATTTTTACATTGTGGTTACCATAAGGTTTACAAAAAACGTCTTATAGCTATAACAAGTTATTTTTTAAAGTAACAACTTAGATTTTGAAGAAAATAACAGAAACAAAGGAAAACAAAAAAAAAACTCTACATTTTAACTCTAACCCCCTCTCCCACATTTTGACTTCACTTTGTTTCAATTTACGTATTTTATATTACTATCTCTTATTAGGTTGCTAGTGCTAATACTGGTTTTGATAAATTTGTCTTTTGGGTTTCATACTAGAATTATGATTGGATTGTACACCACAATTACAGTATTAGAGTATTTTGGGTTTGTCCATGTACTTAATTTCACCAGTGGGTTTTATACCTTCAAATGTTTTCTTTTTGCATGTTCGTGGTTTTTTCTTTCTGATTTACTAACCCCCTTTGGTATTCCTTGTAAAATGGGTCTGATGATCTTAAATTCTTTTATCTCTTGTTTTTCTGGGAACAACTTTATCTCTCCTTCATATTTGAAGGATAGCTTTGCTGGATACAATATCCTCAGATGTCAGTATTTTTCTTTCAGCACTTTAAAAATGTCATCCCACTCCCTTCTGGCCTGTGTGGTTTCCATTGAGAAATCTGTTGACAAAGTGAAGCTCCTTTATGTGTATTTGCTTTTCTCTTGCTGCTTTTAGAGATCCTCTCTTTGTTCTTCACCTTTGAGAATTTGATTAGTATTTGCCTTGGGATAGTCTTACTTGGATCAAATCTGTTTGCTGTTCTCTGACTTTCCTGTACCTGAATACTTATCTCTTTCTCAAGTTTTGGAAAGTTTTCTGTTATTTCTTTGATTAAGTTTTGTACTCCTTGCTCTTGCTTAGCTCCCTCTTGAGCACCGATAATTCTCAGACATAATCTTTTGAGGTAATTTCTATATTTTATTGGCAATCTTTATTCCTTTTTCTTTTGCTCTGTTCTTACTGTGTATTTTCAAATAGCTTGTCTTTGAGCTCACTGATCCTTTCCTCTGATCTATTTTGATTTTATAAGCCTCTAATAAATATTTTAGTTCAACAAATGTATTTCTCAGTTCTATGATTTCTGTTTGATTTTTTTTTACTATTGCAATCTCTTTATTAAATTTCTTGATGAATTTCTGAATTTTTTTCTGTATTATCTTAGAAGTCACTGAGTTTCCTTAAAACTGCTATTTTGAGTTATTGGTCAAAGAGTTCACATATTACTATCTCATTAGAAGATTACCATCTCATTGGTTTCTTGTTTCGTCCATTTGAGGAGATCATGGTTCCCTGTTTGCCCTGGTTTCTTGTATACGTATGTCTACGTCTTTGCACTGAATGATTATTTATTCCAGCCTTCTTTTTACAGATGGTTTTGTTTTTTATTGGATATGTTTGCTTACAGATTATTTGTAATTTAGCTATTGTCTTTCTTTTTTTCCCACAAGGTCACTGTCTCCTTTTTCATACCATATGGTGCCTTTAGCCTAGAATTGTCTCGGTTCTAGTGAACAATCAGAATGCTGCCCATCCAGAATGGGGGAGGTCCCAAAGGAGATATCCCTGTAGTGTGGGAAACCTAGGTGTTTGTGCCTAGAGGACCTGTGGAATGAACAACCTGTGTCATGGTGCTGCTGAACAGCCACTCTGATTCGGTTTTGGTTGAGTTACAGAGCAGAGTTTCCAGCATTAGGAATGGTAGTTCTACCTCCTCCCTTCTTCTCTGGCTGTCTTCAGGGATATTTCTTGGTTCACGCACTGCCATTGCTTCCTGTGGGTAAAGACAGGAACGTGTCTTCTGCCAGGGAAACCCAGGATGGTGGGGAAGTTGGTTATCCATCTCAATCTCACTTTTTCAAGAGTAGAAACTATGAGTCAAAGGGAAGTTTTCCAGGTACTAGGTGCCAAGCAGATTGAGGGGAGGGGCATTGTAAATATGGAAGTCCAATTCTCTTATTAACTGCTTGGAGTTTTTTTTCACTTTTCTGTGGCCCTAAAAACTGTCTCATCCTCATATTCAAATCCTCGGATATTGCTGGTAATAATCCCAGCACTGTATTTTTTTTTATTTTCTAGTAGGGTTGGGAGTGGGGAGTGAAGCCAGCTTGCTTCTACACTGCCATTTTTGAATCAAAAGTCCCCATATCATTTGCCATCAGAGAAATGTGAATTACATCCCTGATGGGATACCATGTCATACTTACTAGATATACTCAAAAAGAAAATTCTGATAATACCAACTGTTGAAAAGAGTGATGCAACTGGAACTCTCATATATTGCTGGTGGGACTATTAAATGGTACAACTATTTTAGAAAATAGCTTAGAAGTTTTTTATACACTTACCTACCATACACCTACTCTGTGGCCCAGAAATTCAATTCTATATAGGCAGCTTTTTTAAGATAACCCTCAATAATTCTGATTTTCTGCTATTCACAGCCTTGAGTAATCCCCTCCCCTTGAGTAACATGCTTCTAACAACAGAATAGAGCAATATTGAGGGGACATTGCTTCCATAATTAGATTACAGAAGATGGTCACTTCCATCTTGCTAACAGTCTCTCTCTATTGCCTTCTCAGCTTGCATGCTTTGATAAATCAAGCTGACATCTTGGAGAGGCCCATAAGGCAAGAAACTGACAATAGCATCCAGCCAACTGCCAACTAGGAACTGAGACCTTCAGTTCAGTAGACTGAAAGGAACTGAATTCTACCAACAACTATGTGAGCTTGGAAGGAGATCCTTCTCCAGTCAATCTTTCAGATGAAACCCCAGCCCTAGATGACATCTTAATTGCAGTTTTGTTACACATTCTGAAGCACAGGATCCAGTTAAGTGGTACTCATATTTCTAATCCACAGAAACTGTGTGATAATAAATGTGTGTTGTTGTAAGCCACTGCATTTGTGGTAGTTTGTTCTGCAACAATAAATAGCTAATATAAACTCATAGGTATTTTCTGAAGATAAATAAAAACAGAAGTCCATTAAAATGATTTGTACAAGGATTTTCATAGCACTATTATCTGTAATAGCTAAAAATTAGAATGTTGATCAAAAGGTGAAAGGATAAACAAATTATAGCATATTTATGTAATGGAATGCTACTCAGCTATGTTAATAACATGTTAATTACTTTAAGTGATTTGATTGCTAATAGGATGCACAAAACTTAAACAGTTTATACTCAGGAAACAATTTTGATATGGGCAAAGGATACAATACAGCAATAACAAGAGGTCCTAAATAAAGACTTCCTTATTCTTCCAAAATGGTGTTGGGTTTCCCTGGACATGCATTGTGTTCACCTCTCAAACCACCATTTGTATGCACATAAAGATCCTTGGAACCATGAAGCCAAAGGTCTGCCTGAGGTAGGAGTCTCTTACAGTGAGTAGGATGCTTAGGTAGGCACACTACAACTACATGTCCAATCTCTAATGTCAACATTCCCCTGGCTTCACCTGAACCAGGTGAATCCATAAATCTAATTGTTATTAGTAAACAAGGCTGATAGGCTTATATATCCTGCCCCAAAATCACTTACATACACATAGTTGTAAAATACCATTTAATCCCAATTATTATATTCTCTAGCTTTGCTCAAGTATTAATATACTCCAGGCAATTCTAGTTATAGGTACATGGTCAATCTGACTGAGATTAATTAATACTACACATAAACACATAAGCAATTAAAAGAAACAAACTACTGATACCCGTACAAGGATAGATCTGACAACCATTATGTGAGCAAAAAAAGCCAGTCACGAGAGTCTATTCTGTGAGGTTCCATTCATAGGATATTCTAGAATAGGCAAACCAAAACCATGGTGATAGAAATTAGAAAGTGGTTGTCTCTTTTGGAGGGAGAAAGGGGCAGAAGGGGGGAAATGAATGACAGAACACACCTGGGAACATTCTGAGACTATGGAAAAGCTTTATAACTCGATGGTAAATACACTTATTTAGCAGGTAAATAAATTGAGCTCTCCCTTCTGTGTTCTTCCACAGTGGCCACATACACCATGTGTTCCAGATGGCACAAGTACACAACGGCAGAGTTTCCACTGGTCTGGAGCCCTAAGCAACTGTGTGGAGAAGTTTGTCACTGACTTGTGCTGAACAAGTAGCATGTGTGATAAATCATATGTTAAAGCAATGATATTTATTTATTGTTACTTCAACATAGCCTAGTTATCTGACTAACATAGTAGGATACAGATTTTTCTCTGTATCTCACAAGCAGCATCCCATATACTTTCCTGAAGCAATAGTTTCTCCATGAATAGTCACTGAATGAAAACAATCAAACACCTACTACTTTTCAGGAGAACACAAAATGATCAATTTGGGGCAAGAAAAATGGAAGAATATAATTAAAAAAGCTTAAAAATTATATCAAGGAACCTATTCCCATCATGTCTTTCAAATAAAATGGAAGACTATAAAATATAAATGGATAAAAGACCAGGCTTTAGAACTAGGTTTGAGCTCAAGCCAAGGAGAGAGGCCTCACTTAGAAACCAACCTTGCTGGCTCCTGGATCTTGGATTTCCAGTCTCAAGAACTGTAAGAAAATTTATTTCTGTTGTTTAAGCCACCTAGTCTACGATATTCTGCTATGGCAGCCCAAGCAGACTAATGCAGCCTCTGATAATATCATTATCATCTTCATTGAACATCCTCAATAAATGGTTTTAGTTAGAGGGATGCTTTCATTCTTGCATATTTTGTTCAACAAATTCATATGCCTATTATATGCCTGACACTCTGCAGGGCACCAGCGCTTGAAGAATGAATAAGGCAAAGTCATTGCCCTCATGGAGGTTACATTCTAGTAGAATAAATTAAAACCAGATAACCAACTACTATATAGCATCCAGTACTGAAAAATGCCATGAAGAAAAATAAAAGCTTGAGGGATTAGGGTATGACCAGAGCTGCCAGTTTATACTGAATGATTCATTCAAGTATTATACTGAATGGCAAGAGACCCGTGAGCAGAGATTCAGATGAAGTACAGGAGACTGTCACGGAAATATCTGGGGAAAGAACTTCCAGGCAGAGGGAAGAACAAGTGCAAAGGCTCAGAAATGGCAATGTATTTGTCAAATTCAAGAAACTGCAAAGAGGCCAATGTGGCTGAAGCAGAGGAAGCAAAAGAGATTAAGAGTGGAAAATTAGGTGAAAATGGTAGCAAGAGTTCAGATAAGGTGGGGCCCTGTGGGCCTCAGGGAAAACTCTGGTGTTTTATTCTGAGAGATGGAAAGCTATTCAGGGATTTTATGCAGAGGGTAACTTGATTTGACTTATATTTAAAAGAATCACTCTTGGCTGCTGGGCTGCTTAATGGAGGATGGATTGGGAGTGGGGACAGGGGAGACAGTAAAAGCAGGAAAGCTGGTTGGTTGGCAGTTTATTGCAATAGTGCATGTGAGATAGATTCGTGGACTGGTCTAGGGAAGTCAGGTGAGATGGTGAGAAGATGTCAGATTCTAAATATATTTCCAAGGAGAAGGATTGGCTGCTAGATCGAATGTGGAATAGAAGGTAAAGAAAAGAGAAGGGATGATCTCAAGGATGTGGATGTAGCAGTAAGGGCCCTTGCAAAGACACAAGATCATCTGGATTATAATTTTCCACCCTACTTTTAACTTGTGACACAATCCCTTCTGTGTGTTGTGTAATAAATCTTTAAAATGGGATTAACGATGTGAAGATCAAATCAAACTCAAAAGGCTTTGAAAAATCAGTAACACAGACCACCAAATGGTTATCCTTTATTCATCCCCAAATGCATAACCTCGGTGAACTGCTGCTGCTGCCTTTCTGCCTGCCTGGTCTTCACCCCCTCCCTGGCATGCAGTGATGCAATAAGTCATAAATAATACTGACACAGAAACCATTACTATCTCTGGCAGTGGACAGCATGTGGCATTCTATGAGTGATGGTGGCCCAGCACTCAGGTTCAGGTGGCTCAGGAAAACAAGTTGCTCACTTTCCTGTCACAGACACCCCTGAAATGATGAAGGGGGCAAGATCAGGGGCTATCCAGGGACCTTGCCTCTGCCTCTAGCTGCCCTTTATAAAATGGCCATAGCACAATCTGCTGTGTTCCTTCACTGTGGTAGTCTCCTGAACAATAGCACAAGGAATATTGGCACTTTCGAGAAAATTGAATTTCAATTTAAGTAACAGAAGTGACCCCCTGCCCTTCCTGTCCCTATCCCTGCATTATTTTTCTCCATACCCCATCACCATTTGACATACAATAAGTTTTACCTTTGTTAATTGACTATCACTCCCTCCTGTAAAATATAAGTTTCTTTAAAGCACAGACCTCTCTGCCCACTCTGTCCACTGCTCCATCCAAAATGTTTGGTAACAGGCAGCCAAGGCACAATAAATCTCCGTTGCATTAATTAATGGATAGCTTTTTGAAAAGTTCTCAGCCATTTTTGGAGATCACATTAAAGATTTTGCTTATAAAAATGTATAGACATTCAAAACATTTTGGCATACAAATTCAGGGAGTTTACAGAAACCTTGACATCCATCCTTGAAGCAATCTTTTCCATTAAAAATCCATTAGTATAATCAAGAAAGCCTGCGTCAGCAGCCCCAGGTTTTAGAATGTAATCAAGCTCCACCAATGCCTTGCTTTGCGGCTTTGGACAAGTCATTCCTACAATCTAGACCTCACTCTCATGATCTGTAAAGTGGCTGGAATATACAAGGTGATCTAGCACATCCATTTCAGACCTAACATTGTTGGTTCTCTAGTGCTGCAGACATAAAATACTCTAATCCAGATCCTTCACTGTGCAGACTGAAAAACTGAGACCCAGAGAAAATCAAGCAGTAGCCATTGCCCCAGAATGACTCTGCTTTGATCTGGAATTTTCCCACTAGCCAAAGTTGTGTGTCTTCCTGCTCTTTCATTGCTAAGATGTGGTTTCCAGTTCAAGGCTTGATTGATTGGGTCAGTCAATGCTTTTTTATTGATTTGACCCAATTCCAGAGCCATAGAAAGTTGGCCACTTATGGTTGATGGGAAAAATAAAGGAAAGGTATAGCAGTCTTCTTACCAACTCAGCTATCCTTATCAGCCTGTTTTTTGTTTCATATTTTCTTATCGAAGAGGCTCATCCACATGGTATAAATTCAAGGTCATGATCAGGTGGGAAAGGTTTGACTTAACTGGAAGAAGGCATTTTGGAACAGGGAAAATCCACAAGTCAATGCCTGTCAGAGCTCTTGGTTCAGAGTCGGTAATCAGTCACTGGAGGGAAGGATTAAAAAAAAAAGGGTGGTAAGTTGTTGTTTCCATGTCTAACTTTCAGATTCTATGAAGATGAGGAGCGTGCTTTCTGTAACTTCTTCCTTCCCCCAATTTTATATATGCCACTTCCCATAGTTAGAGAGTAGGACCCTGAACTATAGCCAAGTGCAGATACAACAGCTCATTACTGCATTAGTTTTCTGTGGCTGCTGTAAAAATTTCCAAAATGGGTAGCTTAAAAATGTATTCTCTCACAGCTCTAGAGGCCAGAAGTTCTAAGTCAGTTTTACTGAGCTGTAATCCATGTTGGCAAGACCACACTACTGTGGAGGCTCTAGGGCAGCATCTTCCTGGCCTCTTCCATCTTCTGGTGATTGCCACCATTCCTTGGCTTGTGATTGCATCACTCCTCGCTCTGCCTCTGTGGCCTCACTGCCTCCTCCTCTTCTGTGTGTTGAAATCCCCCTCTGCCTCTGTCTTATAAGGACACTTATTATTGGATTTAGGACCACCCAAAAATCTCAGAATGATCTCACCTCAAGATCTTTAATCACATCTACAAAGATTTTTTTTTCTTCAAGTAAGTTAACATTTACTAGTTCCAGGAATTAAATGTAGACATATCTTTGGGAGACCACTTTTCATTCAGCCTACCACAGTTTCCTTCAGAGATACTCACCCAGGACAGCTGTCCTGGACAGTAACACCTGTGGGAGTTCAGTCAGGCTGGTGGGAAAAGTTTTAAGATGAAGTTATAGGATATAGACACAAATCTTCTCGGAAGGCTAGAAGGTTTTTGCAAAAGTCTCAGGATAGGGTTATGGCTGAAAGCAGCCTAATCCTTACCTTGAGTAAATAACTTAGAGTAGATACATAGGAATGCAGAGGAGTTTATCTAAATAACTTGCTTACTCAAGTGGTCCTAAAACTAACCTTTGATCATTCTAGGGCAGGATGGCTCCCTCAGGGGGAAGGCGACCAGGTTGGTTACCCTCTAATGGTGCTGACTCAAAGCCTTTGTCATTTAAGGTGTGCTGAATAAAAGCCAACAGGGCCAGCGAGTCAGGGCCGTGGCTGCAACTCTTTACAGCACTCTCCTTGGAGTCTGTAAGTGGCCCAGACCCTCAGCTGGACTGACAAGCATAATATCTATGTCGGTGTATGTTATTCATCCATCGTTGGGTCAGGGTCTGTGGGACAGACCCCTGCAAACACCCTTGTCCCCACTGTTACCTAGGTATGAAGACAGATCCTTCCTTTCTAATTATTCCCCTTGAATATAATTTGAAAAAGTTATTTCAATGCTTTTTACCACTGTTATTATTTTGAAAAGAAAGAATAAGAAGAGAATGAAGAAGAGTCTCCTTCCTCCCTGTTGATACAGGGATAAATTATTTCATGCTGGCTGGGCTGGGTCATTAGAAGTCAGGCCCATACAAAGTCAGGAGGTCAGACAGGCTTGGTAAATTATAGCTAAAACAAAGTTTGTGAACATAGCATGGCAGGAGAAGTATGAGCCACTGTTTTCACAGCTCAAGGTAAGAGGTCCAAGAAGACATCAGGCAAAATCAAAACAAATATGGTAAAGGGATTAGGAGCCTACTTTTAGCAAATTTCAGTGGCTTTGTATGGTGTGCTCAGTTCTGCACAGTCAACTTCTCTTTACATAAAGGGACTCCAAATCTCAAGCCAGGATCCTTCCCTGGTGGAACAAGTGGCCAAATAAGGAGGCCTGTCTTCGGCAGCTACCTTCCTTACCCAGCCCCAGCTCAAGCCCCTGACTGCAGCACCCTGTTGGGAACCCAGGAAGCTGCAGAGCATATACCTCTCAGGAAGCAGGATAGGAGTAGAAGCATGAGAGAAGATGCCTTATAGTCTGCCTTGACAACACTGTTATGTCCCTGTAAGTGAGAATCATATAAAGGAAATTGCAGATGAAATAAGAAAAACTTCAAAGCTGAAAGTTGCCCGAGATTTGTGGCCTTGCATTAAATGCATGGCATTTGCTGTACAAGTTCCCATAATTGGCTAAGAAATCACACAGCTGGCGCTTTCACTCAGCCCAGGGAGATGAAAATGACTTGCAGTCCTTGCAAACAGAGGTTTTTCATGTCTCTCCCCAGGGTAACCTGAATATTTGCTGCCACACAGAGCATATTACTGCCCCAATTTGTTCTTTTTACATTCCTCAGGAGACAGAACACCACAGGAAACTATTCCTCTCTTATAGAGGCCATATGTGTCTTCCCATTGGCCTCCTCCAAAGACTTCTTGCCACTTTCTCTCTCCCAGCTGTCTTCTCTTCCAAATCTCACTGCCAACAGCCAGTAAGGCTCACATCATTTTTCCCGGGGTTATTGAAATAATCTTCTCATTGTTCTCCTTGCTCCATTCCCCTCAACCCTCATCTCATCGTGCATAGCCTACAGTTTGTATGTCAGTTTCATCATGTTACAACCTTGTAAAGGACTCCCCCACTGCCAGCCTCCATGGTTCTGTGGGTAGTGACCATCAGCTGTCAGGGCTAGCACATCATCACATTAAAAACATTTACACTAATGAAGACTGCAAACAATACATTAATTTTGTATATTAAACCAAATGAAAAGGTATACTTTATAATAAAGTCACTTTCATTGACTCATCTTAGACTTTCCCAAGTTAAGAGAAAAACGGGTGAGTTATTTTAGCCAGCAAAGTGGGAATTTCATATGACTCATGGCCTCCTACCTGTACTCTTCATTTTGCAAAAATTATGAATTACTAAAATTTATAAATTTGATTTTCAGTGACTTTCATTTTTTAGATTTTACTCACATAGTAAAGTCGTTTTTAGTTTTACTCACATCGTATATGGTTGAATCATATACATTAAGTTTCTGTTCGTTACCTCATCTTGTAATAACAGCTGAAGAACTTTCACCTAATTTAAGTAGCATTTTTGAAACAGTAAGTATAGGTAAAGACAGGAATCCAAGCCAATTCAGATGAAAGTTAATTTGCCAAAAGCGAGTTCACTGAATGATCAAGAGGACATGTCACCCACATGAAGCTGCCTGTGATGGAGAAAATTTACTATAGCTTTGAACATGAGGCTCAAACCAAGAGTCACAGATCATAAAGCAGGTGTAGACGTGATTGAGCTGCTTCTCAAGCTGGCAACTCTACATAGCAGGCTCAACACAGGCTCCACAGATTTTTCAATGGCTAACAAATCTCCTGAACACACTGAGGAGGTCAGCTAATTTTTTATTAGGAAAACATCAGAGATAAATAAAAGAAGAGTGAGCAGTTTATTTCCCTCATTTTACATGGATAAGAATACTATGAGAAACATTCACGGCATCAACAAATCTATGATGACATCAAATGCAAAGCAATGATGGTAGTAAATTTTGCAGTGACATGCACATATTAATGAGATGTCAGAACTGGTCACTTCTTTTATTATTTAACCACATAATATGACAGGATTTATTTATGCATGTTCTTTCAGAGAATATTCTTGCTTTTATGGAGGTAGAATAGACACCTAACAGAAAAACCCAAAATTCATTTTCTAAGATAAAATTTAATTGTGAAAAACATTATTTTTACTTTGTTTTCCTCATAAATGTCAATTTTTTCAGAACTTTAAGTAGTTCATTTGCTTGTATGCATGCTTGTTAATTTTTTTGTGAATACCACAACATAAAAGATTATGGCACTGATTGCTTTAATTTCCTGAAAATGTGAGTTTTGCCAGGTAGAAGATGAGTTGAGAGGTGGTATCAAAGTCTTCACATGCTTAGGACAATGTGTTGTGCTGATAAATACGAAAAGTCATATGTATCTCATCAAACAAACAAAATGGTAGAGAACTGTTGATTGGTTTTCCACTATCATGTCTCAATCACTCTTTTTAGTCTTAGCGTCCATATTAACACACTGATACTACCATTTGCTCCATCCAAATTGCACACTGCCTGCACAACCTCTCGCTCCACACCTCTCTGGCTTTGTGCCAGCTCTCCTGTACCTGGAAAGTCCTTCCTGCTCCTCTCTATACCTGACTCAGATCCTTCCTCTTCCATGAAGCCTCCTCTGGAAACCAACAGTTCTCCTACTTCAATGGACATAAAGGGGAGGGAGGAGGAGAAAGCATATTTAAAATGCTGAGCCACTCCCTCAAGATTCTGACTCAGTAGGTTTTGGAGTCCAAGAATCTTTATCCTAATATCCCTAATGAGTCTAAAGAACATCAGTTGGTCCACAAAACACTTAAGAGTCACTGCAAAGACTTGACTATGGGCATCTTGCCCTCTGACAACTCTTATAAACATGCACTTAGCCAAACCTCATTCATCCAGTCCTATTTCACGTTTCCAACTGGACTGTCTTCCTCCCTTAAATCCACCAGCACGTGGAAAGTCCACAGTAAACAAAGGATGGTGTTGATGGATATTCGACACGATGTAATGCACCATATTTGATAGAGAACTTCAGGCTCAGACACTCCTCTCCTCACACATGGCATGCCTCCTCCCTTCCTTGTGGTCTGGGCATGGTTCATTCCCTATTGCAGATCATGACAGCAACTCTGCAGGTAATGTACAAAAGAGACAGACCACTCTGCTGGAGAAGGCCAAGGATAGATTTAATGATAATGACACTCTGGAGGCTGAAGGATAATGTCGAGTTGATTTCCCTAAAGGTGGAACAACAACAAAAAAGTATTACATTTTCCGGAATGAGTGATTTAGATTAAATATATCAAACACATCCCTGTCTAGAATGCTAATTAGGTTAGCATGGGGTGTGGAAGCACATTCCATCTCTAGAGGATCAGAGAGTATTAGAGCTGGGAGGAAATTGAGCAGTCTGTCCACATCCACACACAGCCCTCTTGCTGCAGGAAAAAAAAAATATGTATGTGTCTCTCGCTATCCCAGGCTAGTTTCTCTCCCCAGGTGCCCTGGACACAGTTCATATATTCGTGTGTGTGTGTGTAATTTATATATATATATATAATCTATGTGAAATTTATATGTATTATTTACACACACACACACACACACACACACACACACACACATATATATATACTTTTTAAAATAGAGATAAGGTCTCACTATGTTGCCCAAGCTGGTCTTGAACTCCTGGGCTCCAGTGATCCTCCCATCACAGCCTCCCAAAGTGCTGGGATTACAGGCATAAGCCACCATGCCAGCTCCTGGACAGGCTTCTATCTTTGACTTCAGTGGCCTTGCCCATCAATAATGCCCTTGCTCATCCTTTTTAAACATTGATTCGATTTTCTCATAATAATGCAAATATACACAGTCTCTTTTCTGCTAGACATGAACAAGCAGCCTTCTGCCAGCTCCCATAAGGGTAGAGAGGGACAGCCTGGCCACAAAGGCACTGTGGTGAAGTTGAGCTGAAAGATGAAACCTAGAGATAGCAAACGTGTCCTGAATCAAGCTAAGCCGTACTTTCTAGTTGAAATCATTGCCAAAATATTAGAAAGACAGGAATTAGAAAAATTCAATATTTCATTGCTGAAATATTAGAGAAACAGGAAGGCACAAAGATAAAACACCCAAAACTTCGCCATCTAAAGAAAAAGTTAAAAATTTTTTTTCAGTATTTGTTCTATATGTGTGCATATTTATAGGTTTCACAAAACTAATATTCCATTTTTAAAAAGGCTTGTGGAACATGATACTTCCCAATTTTGGCAATATAGGATGAATATTTCCTCATCAATATATGTCCTTTTCCAAACTGATTATTAATGACAACATAATATTCCAGTAATGGATAACCATAATTTATTTAACTCAACCTATATTGTTGACCTTAACCTTGTTTCAATTTTTCGCTATTCTAAAATACTTCTTCTTTGTTCATGGGCAACATCTCTGAATATTTCCTTAGGATAAATTCCTAATGGTGACATTGCTGGATTAAGAGAAGTACCTTTTTTAACAACTTTTGGCATACCTTATCTCTCTCCTAATTGCCTCTCAATATCGGTAGAGTCAGTTCTTCTGTAATGCTTGTTTTGAAAGTGTGTTGCAATATGATTGATTTGTTAGGGAGCAATTCCAACATACTGCAAATTTCACATTTGCTTATATGAAATAATGCTCTCTGCAAGAAACACTAGGTGAACTCAGAAAACTGCATCCTACTCAATGGAACCATGTAAGAATACACAAAATGCACACATGAATTTACACCAAACATCTACCAGCTACCTTAGTTAACCATGTATGTTGTGAGCCACATGTAAGCACATCTGGTGTCACAACCTTCTCTAGTTTCAGATAGCCCTCCCTCCACTTCACAGTAATTCACAAGCTGCAATCTTTCTGATGCCCACTTCCATAAGCAAAACTTTAGGTCTGTTGCAAGGTAAAATGTCATATTACTGCAGATCTTAAGAATTTTTTAGCCATCTAACATGTGTAAAACTATGCTATCATTTTTGCAAGGTTACTATTTTCTTTTTTAATGTATCACTGATGAATTTTCAAGTGTTGTACTCCGAACCTCATTTTCCCCTTAAGCTCTGTGGTTTTTATGTATAATTTTATATGGCACAGTGATTTTTAGGAACATATATGTCACACTCTGACAGAACTGACTGTACCTGAAACTTAGCATACCTGAAACAATCTTGATTTGCAATTATCCCAGAACCTCTTCTTTTTCCCATGTCATCTCAGAAAATGCTATTAACATCTACTTTGTTACCAAGTTAGAAACTGAGACATCAACTTCCTTGCACAATGATCAGCAGTAGAAACAACCAGTTTCCTTCACTGTGTGCCTGTTCTGTTGTAGACAGAGCGCTGGTTGTTATTCTCCTTGATTTGTCATCAAAACGATTCTATTTCCAATGATTCCTTGGATTCATTTCATGTTTTCCATTCTCACATTCTCCATTCTGGCAGGTTCTCATTAACTACTGCGTGGCCTATTGGAATATCCATCAACAGACACCAAATTCTCTCTGTTCTAATGCTTCCATTATGCTGCTTCATCTGCATGGAATGACCTTCCTCCTGTTTATGCATGATCTATTTCTGCTGAGTCTTGAAGTAGCCTCTCAAATATAAGCACTTTTTCCAACTCTTCTTTGACTTTCTTAAGCAGCGCATTGCTGCTTATCTTTGTCCTCACAGCACCATTTTCCTCAAAATAATTTAAATAAAGTATATTTTAAATGGATGGGCAGCTTTTATTTATGTGGCTAATTCTTTAATTAACTCATCTTTTAACCACGTTAGTGGCACACGTAAACTGCTAGCCCCCAATAAATTCTGGGATTTTGACAAAGCTCTTTATCTAACCACATGGACTTCATCTCCTTCCTCTCCACCCACCCAGTGTAATCATCATCCTGAATTTCATGCTCATCCTTCCTTTGTTTCCCTTTGTTTTATCACATCTGTATACACTTCTAAAAATTATTTATTTTTATTTTCCTGGCTTTTAACACCATAAAAAGAGTATCACGCTATATGTAATTATTTAGAACATTTTTTCACTTCATGTTGTATTGTAAGGTCCATCTACATTGTTTATGTCACTATGATGCACTTGTTTGATCTACTGTATATGTCCATCATATTGAGCTTATTAATTGGATAGTTCAGATCTTCTAACCCCTTGTGGATATTTTTGTCTTCTTAACAATAATTAAGACAGAGGGAGATTAAAAGCTCCCATGATAATGGTGTATTTATCAATTTCTCCTTGAAGTTTGACCAATTTTTGCATTGAATTCTTTTGAACAGTTGTGTTATATTTAAATTGTTAAATCTTTTGGAAAATTGATTCTTTTATCATTGTGTAGTGACCTTCTCCATCCCTGATAAATCTTTCTGTTTTTATTCTTTATTTTTACACTATTTATAATACAATGTTATTACATAATAAAGTCTATTGTTATTTATAATTTGATGTTAATATAACTATTCCAGCATTCTTTCATTAGTCTTTGTTTGATATGTCTTTTTTAAAATTTATTCTTTTATTTTCAATTTGTGTGTGATATTATGCTTTAGGTGTGGTTCTTATGAATCACATATAGCTGGATTTTTTAAAACTAGTTTGTCTATCTTTAAGCCGGAAATTTAGACCATTTACATTATTTGTGATTTTTTGCTCCTCTTTTTATATATTTTGTTTTAATTCTATCTTGCTTTTTATTTCCAATTATAATATATAATAAGAAATTTAGCATATTCTCACAACATTTGATCTTGTCTCCACACATCTATCATATTTGTTTTACCTATACTTTAAGCTACTAAGATGTATTCTTTATTCTCTCATTATTTATTGCTTTTAAACAGTATTTTTAAATAGTTGATCGTCTTCTTGCATTTGGGGCTCTGTTGAAAAGTCTGCTTATGTTTATTCCCTTGCATGTGATTTCTTCTCTGGAAACATAATTTTTCTGTTTTTAATATTTTTAAACATCACTATAATATTCCTAGGTGTGGGGCTTTTCTTCTTTCTTCTTTGGCATTTCAGGAACCCTTTCAATATGAAATGAGCTTTCATCTTTTTGAATTGAAATTTTTAGGGCGATTACTGTAGAGTCACATAGCTGTACAGAATAATATAGGAAGATCCCTATATACTTTGCTCAGTTCCCCCAATGGAAATATTTTACATTTCTGCTTGGTTATTTTTGTGATTGCTTGTTCTTGTTTCATAATTTTAATATCTTCCCCAATCTATTTTTAGGTTAATTTGATGTTCCGGGTTATCCGGGTTTGAGGGTTTTTTCCCCTAATATTTCTGCTTCTGATAAAAATTCGCTCTGCTGTTTTTCTTTTGAAATACTCATGCTCTCAAACACATTGTTACGTTGGCCTGACCCTGGGATGACCAGCTACTTTACCAGGCTTCGAATACAGGAAAAAACCAAACCCCTATCTGTGTCAGCCCAAAGAAGCTCAGGGAAGGGAGAAAGGGGAGAGGTGTAAAGGCCTTGGCAACCAGAACACCACTGTCAATCCTCCTTAGCCCACAAAACAACTCCTCATGTTTAAGCTTTAACTTCCAATCCCCAGGGAATAACAGTTTTAGGTGGGAACATTTCTTACATTATAATTCACCAGTGCTATGATTAGAGGAGGAGGTAGGTAAGCAACTGTCTTAATAGTGAGTTCTCACTGATTTTTTTCAGCTTCTCATAAGCAAAGGGCTTCTGTTGTGGCTTCTTTCTCCTCAGAACACTTGTAACAGAGATCGGAGCCACTGCAGATGTGGTAGCCATACTGCTAGCCTCAAAGCAATGGAGTGGGGGAAACAGCAGAGCATCAACATTTGGGGAAGCTGAAATCCAGTGAGCCACCTTGTCTTCCAGTGATTTTTAAATATTATGAGAATATAAGGGTGGGCATTTTTTATATGGCTACTCTATGAGCTGTAGATTTAGAAAGATGAATACTCATCTTTCAACTCATTATAAATATACTTATTAAAAAATATAAGACTTTACCCTGCAGATAAGTGAATCTAACTCCCCAGAACAAGCAACCCTCAGTTCCATGGGAATGCCAGAGAGAAGGCAAGGAAAGAACTTGGAATTCTAAAGCTTTCTGTAAGACCCCATTAAGAAACAGAGTAGGCATAGTGAGAACCTTAGGGGAAAATATCATTGCCTACTTTCCCTGCTTCTTCCTTACCAACTCTCATACCCACAGGTAATAGCACTGATTTAGCAAAGAGATTAGGGACACTAGTGCCAAATGCAATGAAGGGGCCAAAGACTGTTTTCTAAACCGTGGTCATAAATGTGCCTAGCTGTTCCTCCTCCTGCCCATATCTAATTAACACTATGGAAAATGGGCTCTTGTCTTTCTACAGACAATTCTACCTGCTAAATAATGCCTCTCCACACCTGTTCAAACCAAATTCTAACATCCTCCAAATACCCAGTAATAATAATTAATAAATATTTTAAATTTGTTAATAAGAATTATAGAAAGTCTGTATTTAGTAACACACTGTATTAAACATTTGCATGTATAAATTCTTCATGATAACCCTACTAGATAGGTGATATTATTATCTTCATTTTTAAAAGAACAAGGCTTAGAAAAGTAAGTAACTTCACTTTGGGAGGCTGAGGCAGATGGATCACCTGAGGTCAGGAGTTCAAGACCAGCCTGGGCAACATGGTAAAACTCCATCTCTACTAAAAATACAAAAATTAGCCAGACCTGGTGGCATGTGCCTATAATCCCAGCTACTCAGGAGGCCGAGGCACAAGAACTGCTTGAACCTGGGAGGCGGTGGTTGCAGTAAGCCGAGATTACGCCATTATACTCCAGCCTGTGCGACAGAGCAAGACTCTGTCAAAAAAAAAAGAAAGAAAAGAAAAGAAAAGAAATTTGCTGAAGTTCATATAGTTGATAAGCAATAGGGCTTGGATTCTAATTCAGGCAGGCGAACTATAGAGTCTGACTTCTGAGACTTAAGATCTTCCTACCATTCCTGAACACCAACAAAAGTGTCTCTGCCACGTATTTTAGTGCTTGTTTGTGTATAACATAGCACTTGATCTATTTATTTCTATTACTATTACACTATAATGGTCTCAGGCCTGTGATCTTTGTTTCTCTGGTGAGATTATTAGACTTGTAGAAGACATAGGCTGAACAACCAATATTTGTTTGTTTCTCCTGGGGTACTAGACAAATAATAGCTGTTGAATACATATTTATTAAAATCAAGTCAAATAAAGTAAAAATTAGAAAAACTACAGTGTGCAGAGGAAAAGATAAATTCACCTTTGAATTAGTAACATTGTAGCATGAGTTGAAAAAACATCCATCAGGTAACACTCACGTCTGTGAAGTACCATGTGGCTTTACATTGTCTTCTCATCCATGATATCCTTTGCAACGCAAAAGTTTGTTTAAGAGTTCAAAGAATACTTGGTATTCACATTTTACAAACTAGAATGCCAGGATTCAGAGAAGTAGTTGGCCACATTCATGTGCATAATAATCAATTTCTAATATAAAGGTGGTAGGTGGTAGACATTTGGAGTCTAAAGAGGTTGGATTCAAATCCATATACGGAATACCCTAGAAAAAGAGACCTGAACTCTGAGGTCAGTTTCCACATCTGTAAAGAAGGGATAGCATCTCCTATTAAGAGGGTTTTTATAAAGAAAGATATAATTCAGAAAGCAGCTAACATTTCCTAGAACCTAATAGGCCCTTAATACATAGTAACTATTACGAAAAGGATATAGTAAGTGTAGTAGATAAGAACATAGGCTTGGGAGTCAGAGAGACCTAGGTTTAAATTCTAGCTCTGCCATTTACAAGCTATTTGACCTTGGGTGATTACATAACTTCTCTAAGCTTTAATTTCTTCACTTAAAATTGATATAAAACTTCCAAGCCCTGCTCTGATAAAGAAGTTTCAACAGGACTAACCCTCCTGCTAACTACAACTATAAAAGCTGAACAAAATCTGTAAAAACTGGCAGAAGCCAATGTATAGCAATCAATGCAGGCAAAATATGAAGAGCTGTGATTCTGGAGAGATTCTGGAAAGGGGCTATCTTAGTCCATCTATGCTGCTATAACAAAATACCACAAACAGAATAATTTATAAATAATAGAAATTAATTTCTCATGATTCTGGAGGCTGAGAAATCTGAGATCAAGGAACCAATGGGACTGATGTCTGATGAGGGCTGCTGTCTGCCTTGTTTTGTTTTGTTTTGAGACAGAGTCTTACTCTGACCCCCAGGCTGGAGTCCAGTGGCCCAATCTCAGCTCACCGCAACCTCCGCCTCCCGGGTTAAAGCGATTCTCCTGCCTCAGCCTCCCAAGTAGCTGGAATTATAGGTGTGAGCCACCACACCTGGTTAATTTTGTATTTTTAGTAGAGACAGGGTTTCACCATGTTAGCCAGGCTGGTCTCAAGCTCCTGACCTCAAGTGATCCACCCGCCTAGACCTCTCAAATTGCTGGGATTACAGGTGTGAGTCACTGCACCCAGCTAATTTTTGTATTTTCAGTAGAGACGGGCTTTCACCATGTTGATCAGGCTGGTCTCAAGCTCCTGACCTCTAGTGATCCACCCGCCTAGACCTCTCCAATTGCTGGGATTACAGGTGTGAGTCACTGCACCCAGCTAATTTTTGTATTTTCAGCAGAGACGGGCTTTCACCATGTTGATCAGGCTGGTCTCAAGCTCCTGACCTCTAGTGATCCATCCACCTCAGCCTCCCAAAGTGCTGGGATTACAGGCGTGAGCCACCACACCTAGCCTTGCTGTCTGCTTTCAAGATGGTGTCTTGTTGCTGCATCCTCCAAAGGGGAGGAATGCTGTGTCCTCACAGGGAACAGAAGGGCACAATGGAGACAAAACACTCTCCTCACATGGCAGAAGAGCAGAAGAGTAAAAAAGGCCTAAATTCATTCCCTCCAGCCCCTTTATACAGCAATAATCTATTTATCAGGGCAGAGCCCTCATGGCCTAATCACCTTCTTCAGGCCTCACCTCTTAATACCACCACAATGGGGATTGTTTCAACATGAATTTTGGAGGGGACACACTCAAACCATAGCAGGGGCTATTCATTTTGGCTTTTTTCCCTGACAGCATTTTCCAATTTGTAGCGCAGGTGAATAGAGCCCGAGAAGAAAATGGCAACCTTACTGGGCTGAATAGGCAAAAGTCAGAATTCAGGACTGACAAAGCAGCTGGGATCTGAGGGTGAAATCCCAGAGAAAATAGAGTCTGGGCACTGGGAGCATATTCCTCTTAAATTGTGGATCACATCCTAAACCATATTATGCAGATTAGGACAAGCAGTAGAAAAAAAAATCAACTGGAAGCCAAAAAATATGAGCAAATATTTCAGCCATCACATGGTACTGAAAAGATGAAGTTTGGAGTTCAAGCCCCATCAAGATGGACAGGTCTTTGTAAAAAATCCTGAGGTACTTTAAGGGCTGTTAGGGAATAATGACAACCATCCTCTAGGATTAAGGGCAACTCAAAAAGGTCAATCATAGGAAAGACTATGACAAGATCAAGATGATTCACCCATACTCTATGTGCTTGCTAGGAGAAATTCAGACTCTTTGGAGAAAGGTAACTTTATCTAGCACTTCTACAACTTTTATCCATTGTGAAAAAAAAAATTAACAGGGATGATTTTAAAAGGACTGAATCTTTATTTGACAATTAAATATTTTAAAATTAAAAGAAATTAAAAATAGGACCAAATGACTCAAAATCAAGAGAAAAGGATTAGTAGAAACAGACCCACAGATGATTAGGTAGTAAAGGTATCAGACAGAAACTTTAAAGGAACTATGATTAATATGTTCAAAATAGTAAATAAAAATACAGATATTTGGCAAAGACCTGGACTCTATTAAAAATGTCAAATAAAAATTTTAGAACTTAAATAGTATAAATGATACTAAGAATTTGAAATATGGATTTAATAGAAGTTACAAAAGGAAGAATAGAGGATTAGTGAGTCATTTTATGGGTTTAAAATATATAACAAGAATAGCACAAAAAGTGAGCAGGGTAAATTGAGTTAAACTGTTGTAAGTTTCTTGCATCACTTGGAAAGTGGTAAAAGTACCAATCTAAAAGAATCTGTAATATATCCAGGATATGTAATGTAATTTCTAGGGAGACACTAAAAACATAGTAAAACAATATGTAATTAAAAAGAATAGAATGGAATAGAATAGATATAATAAAAATAATTATTTGATCCAAAAATAAACATAAAAAATAAATCAAATAGAAATTAAATAGCAAGATATAATTAAATACAACAGTCTCAGTAACTAAATACAAATTGAACAAATACTTCAGTTATAAGACATTGATTGTCAGACTGGATGAAGAAGCAAAATATAATTATGTACTGTTCACAAAACATACTCTCTGCATTTAAGGGCAGAAAAGGATTGTTGTAAAGTATGCATAAAATATACCTTCAAAAGCAATAAAGCAAAAGCTGACAAAACTAAAAGAAAAGAGAAAAATGCATCATCATACCAGGAAATTTTAGCACACTTTTCTTGGTACCTGATAAAAAATTAGCTCACAAAAAAAAATCAATAAAGATAAAGAAGTAAATAATATGGCTGTCATAATTAACTTACATATCTGTTTGTTTCCTTTTGTGTGAAAAAATTCACATAATTAATATATGTAGAACACTATTTCCACTAGTTCAATAACTGCAAAATACACATAATTTTCATTTATGATAATAGATCAAATAATCTATAGAAATGATGACTAAGACCCAGGATTGTCTGGGCAACCACATCCACTCACATGGTTTCAGCAGCTCTTCTGCTCAGATGCTCCTAGACCATCTGGTTTATGGTAACAGACTCTTAGCTGGCTTTTCTGCCACCTTTTCCCTTCAGTTCAGTCCATTTTTCCACATTGCTGATCTATGCTTTATAGTGAAGACCAGAATATTTGCTTAGCTCTAAAGCTTCTTCCCCCACAGATTGCCTGTTAGTTGCAAGGGAAAAAAATCCAACTATACAGTAGAGAAGTCAGACAACACCTTGACCAGGTGATCAAAATTAAAATCACCAGATAGTGGCAAATGAATGTGTGTGCCTCTAGATATGGTGCCCTGAGACGGACACAAAATCACTTATAGAGTATTCCATCTGGGAATGCATAGCCTGGTTCTATGAGGCTCTATGTGAAGAAACATCAGACAAACCCAAAATAATGAGCATTCTATTACAGAAGCAAAGGAATCCATTCTTCAAAGAAGTCAGTATTGTAAAATAAAGAAAGGCTTAGGAACTGTTCCAGGTTAAAGACTAAGGATATATAACAATTAAATAAAATACGTGACCAAAGACTGGAATCTACACTGAAGGCCAAAACCATTACATGGGGCATTATTACTATATTGATTTACAGTTATTGTCAGTTGACAAAATTGGCATATAGACTATAGATAGATAAACATTACATTGATGTTAAATGTCCTGAAGTTAATTACCATTCTGTAGTTATAAAAGAGAATATCTGTATTCTTAGGAAATACACAATGAAGTATAGAAATAAAAGTGCATGGTGTATCTAACTTATTATCAAATAGTCCAGGGGAAAATATATAGCTATTTTTTACATATATATATTTTTATATACATATGATTTACATGGAGAGAGAAAAACAGACAATACAGAGAGAGGTGACAGAGCATGCAGAGAGAGAGACAGGATGATAAAGTGAATAAGAATATCTAACAATCAATCAGATAAAGGGTATAGCAGAAAGACTTTGTATTATTTTTGTACCTTTTCTATAAGTTTAAAGTTATTTTTAAATAAAATGCTTTCTAAAAATGAAAGGAGAATAGCTTAGTAGTTTTCAATAATTTATGTGCATCTTTAAACTAAGGTAAACATGAGAATGGCCTGAAGACTTGGTAAAATGCAGATCCCTGGGCCTGCCTCCCACCACCAGCCCCAGAGGTTCTAAATCCATGGATCTTTTTAATAAGCTCTCTAGGGAGTTCTGAAGTTTGAGGCATATTCACCTAGTACATGCCCTGAGAGTGGAATGTTGATTTTAGGGAGTGCACAATTTTATATTAAATAAAGTTATTTTCTTTGCAATTCTTTCTTTAATCTTTCTAATGATATCAAGAAAACAGTCCATATTTGGAGATGGTTCATTTTTAACACCTCTTAATGCATTTCATCTTCCCCATAACAAAGAGAGAACAGGTTACCAGTTCAGAGCTTGTGCAACAATATTGAATTAAAATTTAATCAAATTATCACAAATATGTTATTTTTCTATGTGTGGTAACTGATAATAGTTTACTATTAACCCTAGTGATACAAAGTTTCTTTTAAAAATTAGTTAATATAATGGACTTGACTAAAAAACTATTATAATAATGCAGGTGAAACATATATGACAAAAATTCTACTTGTGATACAGCAAATGACTGAAGCTTAGAAAACACAACCCAAAAGGAAAGATTCTGGTTCAGATTGTCCCAAGTCTCCCTTCCAAGTTCACCTTTCACTACTCCATGGATCCTCATGCAGATTCCCAGCTCCCTCAGCAAGCCCTGCACTCTCACGGGTCTGGCCCAGTTCTGCTCTTTCTACTTCCTGAGTCTTCCTTATCTCCTCCTCATCCTGCCATCAGCTGGTTCTATTCTGTGAAATGATTTTGTCAATGTAGAGAGGATATAAAGGTCTGGCTCTTTAAGAAAGCCAAGGGTGGGGTGGGGGGGTTACAAAACATGTATTCCCTTGAAAAAAAGAGCCCTGAGTCAATGAGATAAGAATAGCTAGAAGAGCAGTTCTACACCTAGGAATGTATTTTGAGGTAATAATCAGAAGAGCACACAGATGATTGCGGGCATTGACATTTCTTACCGCGTAATATATAATAGCAAAATACTAAAATTATCAATGTCCAACAACAGAAGACTGGTTAAATAATATAATTCCTTATATAGAAGCACCATGGTTTATTTTACCAATAAAATCCATACATTTAAAGCATGATTTATGATAAGGGGGAAAAGTCAAGGATGTAATAGACACTTTGATTTTCTCCCCACCATTCAATTCATTCTTTCTGTTTTACATGGCCACAGAATATTTGGAGAGATTGAACTCATCTCCAAAAGGGCTCTAATTTGTCTAAGCTGGTGGTTCTCAAAGTGTGGTCTCTGGACGAGCAACATTAGCACCACCTGGAAGCTTGTTACAAATACAAATTCTTGGGCACCATCTTGATCTACTAAATCAAAAACACTGGAGGTGGAGCCCAGAAATCCATGTTTTAACAAGCCTTCAAAAGGATTCTGATGCATGGTCAAATTTAAGAACCATGGATCTAGGTCGTCTTGGTAAACCAGTCTCTTACAGCTTGATTTGGGAATGAGCACATTACTCAACAGAGGCCAAAGAGATGTGAAGGAAAATTTGGTGGGAGCTTCTGGGAGAGGTTTTTCCACACTTAAGGGAGTCTATAGGAAGAAACAGCCCTTCTTCTCCTGGTCTCCTTTGTGTACAGATGTGATGCCTGGGATTGCTGAAGCCATGTTGCCTTATTAATTAAAGCAGAAACTGATGGAGCAGAAGATAACGGAGCTGAGAGACAAAAAGATGAAGGCAGAGCCACCGGCTTAAGGGAATCCTAAATTCTATGCTACTTCTGGGTTTTCAGTAATGTAAGCTAATCTATTTCTTCATTTTAATCCCAGTTTGAGTTGATCGTTTCATTACTTATAGTTACAAATTCTCATCTGCTACATGGTGTAATACTAAGCTTGAAACACATATATAGGGAAAAAATACTGGAAGAAAAGATATTTAACATATAAATCCTTGTTTTATCTAGGTCGAAGGGTTATAAAACAGGGTTATTTTCTGTGTATTTTTCCAACTTGTTAATAATAATTACTTTTACAATCATAAAATATATTTAAAAACAATAGTTGGAGGAGGTTATTTTAAACATGTTCCTTTTAAAAGAGAGTCAAGAATCACTAAAACAACAGAAGAGATCATGAAGACAAGTAGTATGGGACCCTGGGCAGATGGCAAACCAAAGGAACCAAGAATACAGAGTACTCAGAATTAGTAGCAGTGAGGTGTTAAAGAGATAATTAACACTTATATTCCAAATAGCAGCTGAATATAAATGAGAACAGATGGGGCTCAATAGCTATGAAAAGACCTAGGGCAGCACAAAGATAAACAAGCAAATATTTAGAGAAAAGAGATTTATAATTAGGAGCACTGTGCTCAATTTGTGCCAGAGGTTTCATTTCCTTTAACCCTTGCTCCAACTCAGTTATTCCAGGATTTATGACAATTAGCTACCTATATTCCTAGTATCTATAGCTTATTATACCTAACAAGTATTGCATGCTTACTATATACCAAACACTGAATATATATTATCTCACTTAATTTTCTTTCAGGTAGGTACTATTCAGATTAGGTTGCTAAAGCTTAGAGTGGCTAGCACCTTATCCAAATTTACATATGTGGAAAATGATGAAGCTGAAATTTAAACTGTTCTGACTCCAGAACCTGCCTGCCTTCCTCTATGCTACCATGGCAACCAACAAATGTTTGTGGAATAATAAATGTCATTGTACACATTACCTTGCTTTATGTGCTACTGTCAAAATAAATACTTCAAAGCCTTCTCACTCACTGTTACCCGTGAAGCCTAAACACTCCTGGTCAGAGACAAATGCAATTATTGAATGGGCACCCCTGATGAAAGGCAGTTTAGAGCCTCCCAAAGGACAGAACAGAGAAAACCTGGAGCTTGGAGCTCTGGACAGACAGTAAGTTAGATAAATACATTTTCAGGGTTCAGAGTTAGTGAGCTCCAATGAGGGATCACCTATCATTTCATGGACATGATGAGAATTACCTAGAAGGGATTGAAAGAATCTCAGCCTGCAACTCAAGCCCTGTTTATTGATGGGTACAACTTAAGGAGTAAATTGAGCCAGATTAAGAGAAGCTGAAAAAAAGAGTATCTGTCTAAACAGGAAAGCAACTGAAAAAAGAGTGAGGATCAATGGGGTAGACAGATGCATCATGAACCTATTCTCTCCCTGGATGCAGTTGTCCTACTAGCGGCTCCTTTCCAAGAGGACAGATTCTGAATGAAGCAACAACCACCAAGAGAAAAACAGAGTGAAGCATTATGGTAACCACACGAAGCTCAGAAGGAACTAGTGCATCCTGGGCCCCCACTTCCTTATTTCTAATGAGACTTGGCTATCTTCTTCAAGTGTACCCCCAGCCTGGGGTACAGCACCAGGAAAGAAAGCCTAGCCAGAGAAGCTGTCATAGTCTCATTGTTACTACTCTGAAAAACAACATGGTGGGAGCCAGCTGGCTTTTAAGCAATTAAGCTCACTTAGGAAAACAAAAGTTGTATCTTACTTTACTTTCTATTATGACGGTTCTAGCTGGGGTTTTCTGGCTTTCTGTTTGGTACTGGGTTTGGCCATTTAGGAGGCTGATGATCAAGAGGATTCTAGAATTATGGTGGGGGAAATGAAAAATCTAATCTACCACACTGGATTATAAATTCAAATGTACAGAGACTATATGTGTTTTATTCACCAGTGTATACTCACCAGAGTAGGGAATGAATGGATGCATGCATACTAACTTTCTAAAAATGCCTTAGAATCTCAGGTTGGAAAGTGACCTAAAAATATCTACCTCAGCCTCCATAAAATTAAGGACCCCTTTTACAACATTCTTGGCAAGAGTGCATCCCATGTCAACCAGTTCACTAATCCTTTACCTCACTCTAGGAAACCTATTTCATATTCAGATGGCTATGTTTTTTTATTCACCCTTACCCTGAACAAGAATCTTTCTTCCTTCCTGAAAATTGGAGCCACTGGTCCTCATTCTACTCTCTGGGAAGCCAAAAGTAAGTCAAGGCCAAAATATCAGACCATTTTAACAAGTCATCCCTTTGCATATCAACTGTCTTGACTCTACTCCAGGTTTAATATACCCTGTTCCTTTAACAATGTTTGATATTATTCCAAGTTCCTGGCCATACCATTTCCAATATTCCTTAGATCCAACATGTGACCTAAAGAATATTAGTCTCCAAGTGTTACCCAATCAGTTTAGAATGGAGTAGAACTATCTGATCCCTGGTCTGAATAGTCTTGATATAATTCCAGCCCAAAATGAGATAAGCATTTACTCAGCAGAAAAGACTGCTTAAAAATTACCTATGAATAAGCCCCCTGATGCTGAAACATTTATTCACTCATTCAGCAAGCATTTACTGAGGACCTAATACGTGCCATGTGCTGTACCAGATGGTGAGTATACAGAGATCATTCCCACCACTGTAAAACTTGAGTATCATGTACAATGGAAGCTACTGAAGGCTTTCAAAAAAAAAGGAAAAATAAATAAAAATTATTTTATCATTACTCAATTCCTTTCCTATCAAATGACCAATATGTCTAGGATCTTCTTGGTGCCCATCTTATTTTCATGACCTTTTAACACTCTGGCCCAAGAACCCTCATTTAGTGTGGGGTAGCGAGTGGAAAGGGCGTTTGCCTGGATATCAGAACTTGATTATTGTCTTGGCTTTGCCAATAATTTGCTTTGCAACTTTAGTTTTGTCTATTTCCTATTGACTCATCTGCCCATTAAAAAGGTATTACTAGATCACTAAGACTTCTTCTGAAATATTTTGTTTATCCATACAGTAGCTATGTCCTTAAGCACCTTCAGGTGAAAAACGAAATCGCTTTCAGAAATAGGGTGCCCCCACTGTCATTGGTTTTCATATGCAGCTAACTCCTCTCCGCTGTTCCCAGACACAGGTATTCCTCTGAGCCTCAAGGACACAGAACATGTTTTTTAACACCCACAATATACAATTTATTACTAAGTCCTGATGTTTCTGCCTCTAAACACATAACTGAAATTCATCCTTGGCTGGGCGCGGTGGTTCATGCCTGTAATCCCAGCACTTTGGGATGCCAAGGCAGGTGGATAACAAGGTCAGGAGTTCCAGACCAGCCTGACCAACATGGTGAAACCCTGTCTCTACTGAAAATACAAAAATTAGCTGGCATGGTGGTACGCATCTATAATCCCAGCTACTCAGGAGGCTGAGGCAGGAGAATTGCTTGAACCCAGGAGGCGGAAGTTGCAGTGAGCCAAGATAGAGCCACTGCACTCCACAGTGGGTGACAGAGCAAGACTCAACCTCAAAAAAAAAAGAAACTCATTATCTTGGCTCTTTAACCCAAGTACTGTGCTACCTCCTCAATGGTCTTCTCACTATCCCCTTTCCAGCCTGCAATGCACTCTCTACATATAGCCAGACTGATCCTTTTAAAGCTTAAATCATGCCCCTCAACCACCTGAGAATCCTCTAGTGACTTCCTACAGCAGCCAAAATAGAATCCAAACTCCCTTCCTTAGCTTACAAGTCCTTTCCAAACTAGCCCTGCCTCCTTCTCTGTTAGCATCTTGTACCTTTCCCTCCCTTGTTCCCTATGCGCCACCCTCCCTGGGCTCTTCCCATCCATCCCACACACCTAGTTCTCTTATTCTAATCTCTTTGTACATCCTGTTTCCTTTACTGAGAATGCTCTTTCCATCCTTGGCATGGCATCTTGCCTTCTCTTTTAGGTGTATGCTGCTAAACAATCACCTCAGAAGCTTCTCCTGACCACTGTATCTAAAGAAAAATCAACCAATCCCCATCTCTCTCTCTTCCTCCCTACCTCACATACATGCATGTATGCACACGCCATATACACATGCACGCACACAAACACATGATCATGATCATTTCTCTGTGTTTATTTCTATCAAAGTACTAGCCAACCTGTAATTATCTTGTTGGTTTATTTGTTTGGCATCTCTCTGCTCCACTAGAAAAAGTTCCATAAGAGCAAGAACCTGGTCTGTCACTCTATTCCCAGTGTTTTGAAGAATATCTGGCCAATAGCAGACACTTAAACGTTTTTTGAATGAGTAATACATGAACCAATGAATGAGTGAAGGGATGAATGCGACTCTCATTTCATGCCTTTTAATACTTGTATGGGGGACAGGGAAGGGAAGGGTGGAAATGGAAAAGATAAAGGATATTGAAGAGTGATGACCATGATGGTGAGAGTTTAGGAAAACATGTCAGGGAGCAGTAATCAGCCCTCAAAGTTGTACTCAACATAAGAAAGGAAGTTGTAAATTTCTAACAACCAGGGATGTCCAACCAAGATATGGTCTGCCTTGTAAGTGAGTCAGTCCCGTAGGATGTGCAGAATAAGCTGTATGGCCACCACCAGGGCTATTGCAGAAGGGATTTATGTGTATTGAGATTGGACTAGGTGTCTTTAAACAATGAGCTCATGGCTAGAGCAGTCCCAGGCCAGCGAGCATGGGAACACTAAACCCCTGCTGAGGAGCTTCCTCCTCTGGTAAACACACAATGTATGTTCAATTAGTTTCTCTGCTCCAGAAGAACTGTCTCTTCGTGCCCTCGCAATGAGATTCTGCTAATTGAAAACACTTCATTCTATCTGCTTGAGAGGATTGGACTAAACTAGGCTACTGAAATGTAGCACATCCCTAACTGGGGCAGGGGAGCCACAGTAGAGCAGAAGCCCAGACAGTCTAGGGAGAGGTTGAAGAGAAATGCATTTCATTTCAGGCACTATTTCAGAAAGACTAAAATTTCCAGTCTTCAGAGAATGTATTTCAGATAAAGAGTCCTCCCAGTTAGGGGAAACATTTTTCCCGTTTGCCTTGGAATGATTCATTTAAACAATGATAAAAATAGGGCCTCTCCAGGCCCTGAACCTGCTTGCAGGGAGACCAGGTTTTAACCCAACAATTTTGCTTCTGAAAGAGTCATTCATTGGTATGTGAACTATGGACGATAAGGTTAAGACCTAGGCCAGGGAAAAGGAGCACACATCAGAATTCAAGGCACCAGTAGTAACAGCAAAAAGCAATAACGACAAAATACCTTACACCAGTCTCTGTGATAACTTCTCTGCCACATTGTCTTCTTTCACACAGCATTCCAAGAACAAGTGCCACTGTGATCCCATTTTACAGACTAGAAAACTGAGCCCCTAGCGTTAAGTGACTTGGCCAGGGTCACAAAGCTAGAAAGCCGTGGAGGAGGATCAGCCTCTGGTCTGCCTCCAGAGCTAGGGCTCAAAATGAAATTGTTCACAGATCACACAAAAACTTGTTAAAATGCAGATTCAAATGCTGCGGGTCTGGGGCAAGGCCTGAGATTCTGCAATTCTAACATGTTCTAAGGTAATGCTGATATGCTGGTCCATGAACCACACTTTGAGGAACAAGATTGTAGGGACAAAAGCAAGGGTGGCACCTAAATATACCCAGAAATTTTCTTAATTTACCACTAAGGCACATAAATCTTAAATAAAGAAAATAAAATGTCGTTTGTTTTTTGGTTCAATTCTCTGCCTTGGAGACATTAGATCTTAAAGGCTGTAACCTACTGATCACCTTAGCCCAGAAAAGATTTGTCACATTGTTCTCCAACCCAGCCCCTTTTTCCTCTTAAAAAAGAACCAGCAGTTGGCAATACATAAGGAGACAAACACAATTAAACCCCAAAGAAAAAAACCCCACAGCCCTTCCATTTCAATTAGAATCAGCGGCTGTTGGAAATGGGCAAATTTAGAGCTGTAATACCAACGGAAACAGTGAATTCTCAATTGTGATCAAAGGCTTCATTTAGCAGGCTGAAAAGCAAGCATGAGCTTAATTGAACAAGAGAGAGATCGCCTCCAAAGCAGCCAGGAATAATCAAATAGCATTGAAAAATATAATGCATCAGATGGAGAGGAATTAGCCCTAGGTTCCAAATGACCTCACCTGACCTATAGATCCCAGCTTCAAGGGAGAGAGACCTCAGCGGTTACCTGGTCCAACTCCCCATCTTATTCACTTTAAGTCAGGAATTTCAAAATCTTTGGCTGTAGCGCACAGTTCGAAATACAATTTACACCCAACCCAGTGTACAGGCACCATCTATAGATGAATATCTTTAAGTAAAAGCTTTACAATATGATATGTATTTTTTCGATATGTGAAGTACCTGCTCTTTTCTCATGTTTTTCAACGCTCAAGAGCTACGAAATTGATTTCAAGACCCACTAATGGGCCATGACCCACAGTTTGAAAAACACTGGGTTAGATCATCCCACTTAAGTGCACAACCAGCCCCTTCATCTTACAGGTAAGAGAGATAGACATTAAACAAATGATCACACAGATACATATTTAATAGCACAAATTGAAGTGAAAGTAAAAAGGAAGACCAGGGATGTGATGGAGATAACAGGGGGAACTATTTTTGACCAGAAGGATGGCTGGAATGAGTCAGGAAAAGCCTCTCTTGAAAGAAACTTAAAACTGGGACTAAACAATGAATAGAGAGTAGCCGGACAAAAAAAAGAAAGAGGGGTCTCTTTAAACATCTCTTGTTCTGGGAAATGTACCATTATCTATGGCAACCTCACGTGGTAATAGCAGCAGTAGCAGCAGCAGCAGCAGCAGCAGCAGCAGCATCTGCCCAACCCAGTTTCATCAAGTTTTACTATTTGTCAGAAGCTGAGACAAGTGCTTCTCAAGGCTACTGGAGCTTAAGGGAACCGACTGCCTGGTTTGAATCCCACCTCCAACCTTTACAAAGTTTCTGATTTGGGGCCAGATAGTTCAGTTTTCTCATCTGTGGAGAAGGAAGTATTCATCTTGCATGCCTCATCACATTGTTGCTAGGATTAAATGAGTTAACACAAGGGGCTTAGAACAATTCCTGGCGCATGGTAAGTACAAAATAAATTGCTAAATAAGGGGATATCACCTTGAAATCTTCAACAACTTGCTTCAGGCAAGCACCCCCTGTCTATTGGCACCAGAAAAGAAACCCATTGCCATCTTTGAACTAACTGGTTTCCAAGAGGTGTTTTGATTTATTTTGTTTTTTCCATAACAGTATTATAAACCTAGTAGGACAGAGGGCTGAAGTCCTAAACTCTGCAGAGCCCTACAGACAAAGGAGACAAGGAGAAACGGAATGAGTCTGATTCCCTGCTCCTAATTGCCATCTCAGGGCCTGCATTCACCACTATTCTCTCTCCTGCCTGATGAATTTCCCAGTTCAGCACCAAGGATACAGTTGATTTCTCCGGAGAACTATAATAATGAAATTACAGTATGTTTACTTGATGCAGAAAACCTCTGGATAGATAGTAAATTAGTGGCCTCACAATGTTGAAAAATCTTCAAGCTTTCAAGAGGCCTAAACAGATCCAAAATGCCAGGTTCAAGTCACACCAATAATTAAAATTAAATTATCGTGCTGAACTGAAAGTCATCTCCAATATAACATTTTTAAAATGGTTCTCCAAAGAAGAACTCTATCTTGGCTTCAGGGAGGCATCTATCATAAACCCACAGAATCAGAAACAAAAAAAGCAAGCTGCGTCCATTGTGCACGTGCTACAGCTAATTCCCCAGGACAGGCAAGAACAGAGAGGCTTGGAGGGGCATACAAAAACACCCATTGCTGGGGAGAGGCAATAAAAATGAGGAGCAAACCTGATATTTGTATGTTACTCTTTACATCCATCTTCTCAATTTGTCCAGTCACTGTCTCTGCAAAGTAGGAAAGGCAGAGATTTTTGGTCCCATTACACAGCTGAGGAAACTGAGGCTTCAGTGGTATAGTGGCTGGAGTCAAGACACATGGCCAGTAAGTGGTACGGATGGGATGAATGTTCATCCTAGAGTAAAGGAAAGATAGGGAGAATGGAAAGAAGTAGAAAAAAAGGAAATTGGCATGCCTGTCCTAATAGCAGATGATATAAAATTTAAACACAAAAGACATATTTGGGACAACTCAGCAAATTCACACAAAGAGTAGTTATTAAAATTATGCTTGTGCCTATGCACTCTTGAAAGATGCTTATGATGTTATTATACTGCTAGTGACATAAAAATACTTACCGTTAGCCAAAAATTTACCATGGGCTAAAGACCTGTCTAAACACTTTATATGAATTAATAATCCTCCATTTAAACCTTATAAAAACTTTACAAGGTAGAAGCTGTCATTTTATGTCGAGAAACCCAAGTTCAGAGAAGTAGGTTATTTGTGAAACACACACAACTAGTGAGTCTAGGTCTGATGGCCAAGCTCAAACCCCTAGTCACTTCAACATGCTGTCTTCCTAGAGACCTGGTGGAAAGAGGAGAGCATTAGTTGCACCAAGCTATAGCAAATGGATGAATCCATATAAACCAAGGATTAAAGTGAATGCACACAGTTCCTGTGTGCCCCAGCAGGCACCCTTATTGAGCTAATGAAATGGTAACTTCTGTTATTTACTTGACAAATATTTATTAAGCACCGACTATGTGTCAAGCCCTGTGCTAACCCTGGGAATATAGCAGTAAGTACATCAATAAAACTCTCTGACCTCATGAAACTTTCACAGGGTACAGGAGCAGATGAAAACAAAACAAGTGACATAAATATTATGTTAGCTGGTACCAAATGCTGCAGAGAAAATTTAAGCAGGAATGGGAAATGGGAAGCAATTTTTAAAAACAGGATGCCCAGGAAAGGCCTCACTGAGAAAGGTGATCTTTGGGTAATATCTTGAAGCAGATGATGCAGTGAGCTGTGTTTATATCTAGGGAAAGAACATTCTAGATAAAAGGAGAGCAAGAGCAAAGCCTCTGCAGTGGGAACAATACAGAAGAGCAGGTGGCTGGAATGGAGTTTTGTAGGAAATGAGATCAGAGGCCATGGGGCCAGGAGATGTGGGGCCCAACGGGCCATTATTAGGACTTGGGCTGTGAGTGAGATGGGAGCCATTGGAGGTTTCACAGAGGAGTGACAAGATCTAAGATCCAACTCATCTTTATATGATAACTCTGGCTGCCATTTAGACAACAGACTCAGTGGGCAAGGGTGAGAGTGGGGAGGCCAGTAGGGAGGTGAGAGGTGATGACGGCTCATTACTAATGATTATTACAATATGAGCATGATTCTTTACTTTTTACCAGTACCTTCATATAAATTATTTCACTTAATCTCCATTTAAATAAAGAAACGGAGGCTATGGCTTGTTGAAGTGACTTGCTATGTGGTTTGCTTAAGTCCTTCAGCAAGTTAGTGGCAGAGCTGAATCTTAAATCTGGAATGTTTTTACTTCTCATGCAGTTCTCAAGTCTCATCTGATCTTCACCTCCCACCCAATTGCCTTGCCTCTCTGACTTCTGTGGGCTCAGATGATCTCCAATCGACCATCATGGCCAGCCACAGAGCCTGACTATAAATATCACTGATAAGTATCTGGTAACCAGCAGACAGGCGGCAGAACCCACACATAACAGGGAATAGAATCCAACAAAAGGAAAAGTCATCATCAAGCTCTGTCCTCACAAGGGCATGAGCCTCCTGAACAACGCGTAACAGGAAAGGAGGGCAGGGGGCTCTTAGAATGTCAACTGATGTTTATTCAGCAGTTCTGTGTGCTCAGAACAATATTAGATGCCATTTGAGAGAAAGGAAGGAAGAAAATTGTCTGCTGTCAGGGAGATTATAATTCAGTGGGGAAAGAAGACACACACTTGTGGGTAGGAAAGACAACGCAACTGAGCAGGAGATGAGGTGTCACACACAGACCGAGAGCTCAGGGTTTCAGAGCCCAAGGAGTTCTGTGAAGGTTGAAGAGATTAGACAAGCCTCCAGGGAAAGGGAGGAAAAAATCTTGAGAAAGAAAACTTCTGGATCCTTTCCAAAGGTAGTCACCAAATTCTATAATCTGAGTGTTTCTAACCATCTCAGGAAAGCCTTCAAACATCGCTTATAGTCTTGGTATGTCATACAGCCTTAGTGGGTCTATTTTTACTTTCCACATTGCTTTGCCCCTTTGAGGGTCCCAAACCTACATGCCACCAGAAGAGGGATTTTAATCATGAAGGCCAAGAAACTGAAGCCAAGCAAGGCTCCTTACAAGATGGCCAATAGGTAATTTAAAACGTCCAAGCTAGGAAGGTCTCTAGTGGCTGTCTAGTCCAGGCGTCAGTAAACTATGGCCCACAGGCTGGCCTGTTGTTTTATAAACAGTTTTATTAAAACACAGCCATGCCCTTTCATTGACATATTATCTATGGCTGCTTTCACACTAGAACAGCAGAGATCAGTCATTGCAGCAGAGACTGCATGGCCCTCAGAGCCTAAAATTATTTGTTCTCTGGCCATTTAGGAAACACTTGCTGACCCCTGTTCTAGTTCAACTCCTTTATTCTAGAGGCATGAAAACAGAGGCCCAGAGAAGTTAAGAAAATTGGCTAAGGTTATTGGATGAGTTCAAGTGTTGTCCAGCCTAGAATAGGAAAAGTAATGTGAGAATTTGTCATCCTTCATTCATTTGGTTATTCACTCAACAATTGTTTTATCAACACCATGGGCCAGGCACTGGGTAAGAATACTGAAGTGCATAGTACAGATAAAGCTCCTGCCCTCAGGGTTCCTGTCTGAGGGAGGAGGGGAAGGACATTTTAAAAAGTGAAGAAAATAACTACAAAGTATGCAGACTGCTATAAAAGAAATTAACAGAGGGATGGGACAGGATGTAACTTGGGGAAGAGAGGGAAATATTTTAGACAGGGAATCAGGAAAGACCTTTCTGAGGAGGTGATGTTAGAACTGGGCAGTGAGTGATAAAAGCCATGAAGAGCAGGTGGAAGGGCATTCATGCAGAGGGAATAGCAACTGCAAAGTCTCTGAGGCAGGAACAAGCTTGAAATGTACAGGGAACAGCAGGAAGGTACATATGGCCAGAGAAGGATAAAAAAGGACAAGAGTGGTATGAAGTGAGGGCAGAGGTGAGCAAGTGCCTGTAGGTGGTGGCAACTATCTCCTGAGCATATTTTCACTGCAGTTACATCATCACCATCATTTTCATCATCCCCATAATGAGGTTCTAGGAAGCCCAGGAAGGGAACATGTGGTACCTGTATTTGCCTGCTATAGAAAGCAGTGCTGGGTATAGTTCCCTCCTAGCCAGGGGCTGCATAGCACTTTTAGTGATTGTAAGGGCATATTTCACCTTCCTCAGACCACAAGACAGACAGCCCACTAGTTAGTCATTTGGAGTCTTCTACACCTGGATTTGAATCCCGACTCTTCCTGACCTTGCACAAGTAGCTTACGTGTTTCTGAGCCTTCAGTAAATGGAGGCAATTGTACCTACTTCCTGGGGTTGTGAGAAGAATTAGATAAGACAAAGTGGGTAGAGCTCAGCCTTTGCTCAGTGCCTGGTACATGCTCAACAATTTGATAAGTATTTATTATTATTAGTGGGATACACGCTGGTAGAACTTGCCACTGTATCTCAATATTTGTGTGCCAAAGACACACAAATTTCTCACTGCTGTCAAGTTGTCAAATGCATGGGTAGAAGAACCAAATTCCAGAGAAGCCAAATGACCAACCCAAGGCAATTAAGGAGAAGGGTCGCATGATGACTCAGCCCTTCAGTGCCCACCCAGCTGCTCACTACATTTCACCAACACAGCAGCCTCAGTTATACTTTGACCATTCACCTCCAAGCAAATACCACTGTACTTTGAAAACAAGGGTGGGAAGGGACCAAAGAAGTCCTTTGAACAGTCCTGCAGCATTCAAAAGAGTCCGTATTATGTACCTGCTATATATCATGGGTACAAAGATGAATGGTCCATGCTCACTGTACCCTTGAGGAATTCACAGGCTTGTAGAGAAGACAGTTATAAAATTATAATCTTGAGGGCCATCTGCCTACCAAATGAAACAATTTACTCAGCTCAGGGAGTCAGGGACAGGAACCAGAGAGAAAGTGACACCTGAGCTGACTCTTGAAAGGTATTGAGTAAACCAGGAGATTGGCTTGGCTGAGCAGAGAGTGATAAGACTGAAAAGCACAGCTCATGGAGGGTCTGAACCCCTGAACCAAGGAGCTTGGCTTGATGGGCAAAAATGAGGCATGGAGCAGGGAATAACCTGCTCAGAGTGACATTTGGCAAGGTCACTCTGGGTGCAGGCTACAAGGATGTGAGGGAGCAGGACCAGAAACAGAACAACCAGTTTTGAGCCTACCTTGCAAGTCCAGGCAAGAAGCAACAAAGACCTGAGCTATAACCATAAGGGAGGGCAAAGAAAGAAGAGACTGATTCTGGAGCCTCTGGTGAGGAGAATCTGAACCATGTAGTGACAGTGGGATGCTAAGACAAAGAAGAGAGAGAAGGGGCAACTGCTGCGCTGGGTCTGCCTTTCACCAAGGGGGGAAATTGAGAGAAAGTGTAGGCAGGAGCAGGGAAGGAAGGCAGAGTTCATCACAGAAAAAGAAGTAATCGAGCATAGTGCTTTCCAATTGTGTATCTTTTTTCTTTTTTCTTGGTGATAATACTTTCAAACTTCTGTGACAAAAACCAGATGAAATGAGAGATGCCACATGTGAAGGGAAGGAAGGAACAGAGGCCATTCCTCTCCTCACAGACCCCAGAGAAATGAGAGCCATTCAACTCCTTGGATCTTTGATCTGATGAAGTCGAGGCTGAGTTCTTAAGACCAGGTGAATGCAGTTTGAAAATTACTGCTGTAAAGAAAAAAACAAATCATCCCATTAAAAAGTGGGCAACTGATATGAATAGATATTTCTCAAAAGAAGATATACAAATGACAAAAAAAAGTATGAAAAGATGCTCAAAATTACTAATCATTAGGGAAATGCAAATTAAAACCACAATGAGACACCACCTCACTCCAGCCAGAATGGCCATTATTAAAAAGGCAAAAAACAATAGATGTTGGCATAGACGTGGATGTGGTGAATATGGAATGCTTATACACTGCTGGTGGAAATGTATACTAGTACAACTGGAAAACAGTGCAGAGATTTCTCAAAGAAATAAAAGCAGATCTAACATTCCATCCAGCAATTCCACTACCGTGTATCTATCCAAAGGAAAAGAAGTCATCATATCAAAAAGACACCAGTACACATATGTTTATTGCAGCACAATTTACGGTTGCAAAGATATGGAACCAGCCTAAGTGCCCATCAACTGATGAGTAGATAAAGAAAATGTAGGTCAGCCGCGGTGGCTCACACCTGCAATCCCAGCACTTTGGGAGGTTGAGGCGGGCAGATTGCTTGATCTCAGGAGTTCAAGACCAGCCTGGGCAACATGGTGAGACCCCCATCTCTACCAAAAATACAAAAAAAAAAAATTAGCCGCATGTGGTGCCATGCACCTGTAGTCCCAGCTACTCAGGAGGCTGAGGTGGGAGGATCTCTTGGGCCCAAGAGGCAGAGGTTGCAGTGAGCTGAGATTGCACCACTGCACTCCAGCCTGGGTGACAGAGCAAGGCCTTGTCTCAAAAAACAGAAAGAAATAAAAAAGAAAATATGGTATATACACACCATGGAATACTATTCGGCCATACAGAAGAATGAATTAATATCCTTTGCAGCAATCTGGAGCTAGCGGCTATTATTCTAAGTGAATAACTCAGGAATGGAAAATCAAATACCGCACGTTTTCACTTATAAGTGAGAGCTAAGCTATGGGTACACAAAGGCAAACAGAGTGGTATAATGGACACTGGAGTCTCAGAAGCCAGGATTTGGAAAGTGGGTGAGGGATAAAAACTACATAGTGGGTACAAGGTACGCTACTCAGGTGATGGGTGCACTAAAATCTTAGGCTTCACCATCATACAATTCATCCATGAAACCAAAAACCACTTGTACCCTTAAAGCTTTTGAAATGTTTAAAAAGAAAAAGAAGGGAAAAGTAAGCTTGTGGTGTGTGAGCCCACAGGAGGCCGCAGAGGACAGGGCCAGGAGCCAAGAGCAATTGCAGCAAATCCAGACTAGAACCAGGTCTTTGAGAGCATTTTCCACCCTCCACTACCCAATAGCATATAGTCCATCTTCTATCCCTCCTCACAAAATTATGAAAGTGGTAAGACCCAAATCTACATTACAAAAGAGGCCAGAGCTTTGGCCCTCTCTGCCCCATCTCTGTAGTGCTTCTGTTCCTGAACAGGACCTTACCAGCCTTTCCCTTCTTCTCCCCCAGGCCCACCTTGTTGACTGAAACCACCCCAGATCCCACAACAGCCTAGACCCCTCCGTCGGCCCAGCCACCCCAGCACAAACAGCATGAGAGTTGCTGCTGTGTCTCTGCTACCACTATGCCAGGCTGCCTTTCTGTTTTCCCTGGGCCTGATTATCTTAAGCTACCTCTGGGGCCCCACCCGGCTGGGCCCAGTGTTATCTCCTATGCACAGTCATCGTCTTGCTAAAAGGCAATCAGAGGAGCTGACTTTAATAAATGTTAACACCCTCAATGTGAAGTCTGGCAATTAAAACTCCTCTCCAGGACCTCTGAAACAGGCCTGTGGAAAATCCCCCATCTTAATAAGCTCCAATCATCAGAGGACGCTGAGAGAAAGCAGGGATAAGGAGAAGTCACTGAAATTTTCAAAGGGGAGGGAAGCAACCAGGAAAGGCACCTTCCTCCATTTCTCATCCCTCCCTCTGAGGATCCCACTCCAGGCCAATTTCATCCAACAGGCCTGAGAAGCAAACAGAGGCTGATCAGGAAGGCCTTAAGGGTCATCTTGTTCAGTGGTGTTTAGATTTTTGGTGCATTAGACTCACCTGGAGGGCCCCTTAAAACACAGATTGCCAGGGTTTAGTTTCTGATTCAGTGGGTCTGGGGTAGGGCCTGAGAATTTGCATGTCTAGCAAGTACTCAAGTGCTGCTGCCACTAATGGTCCAGGGACCACAGTTTGAGAACCACTGATCTAGCTCAATATCATCATATTACAGATGGTGAAACTAGGCCCAGAGAGATAGGAACTTGCTCAAGATCTCATATCTAGTTAGTGCACCCCATTTGAAAGGATCAAAGCAAATCTCTTGAGAGCAATTCCCAATTGTATGTTTTAAATTTTTTTCTCCATAGAATTTTAAACATTGGGTTTATTAACAGTCATCACCACGGTCATCATTATCCTGAAATGAGATCTTTGAAATCAAAGGAAGAAATAGTTGGTAGTTAGCATGCCAAGTAACAGGACAGCCTGCCTCATCAATACACAGGAAGCCAAATTGGAAAAGAGTTCTCCTAAGTGAGTTCTTTGACAAGATTTCCTTTCTTTCTCCTTCCTTTAGATCAGATTAGAGGCAGGTTAGATTAGATTTAGGTCCAGATTGGATTTCAGGGCCCTTAGACATCACTTAGTCCCCTGATCACCCAAACAAAAAAACATGCCATCATATTATTCTTATCACTTATCAGTGTCTGGAATTCATACTTACTTGTGTTCTTGCTTCCCACAATCTCCTCCACTAAAACCTATGTTCATGAGAGCATGGACATTCTCAGGGCCTGGCATTTACAAGCTTTTAATAATTATTTGTTGATTAATTAACTGAGAACCATATTAGCTAGGAAAGGATTCATTAATCTGATGAATTTATTGACATTTGGCAGGGATTTGAGTCCTGAGGCCATAGTCCGAGAAAGATGTGATCAGGTAGAAGGCAGGAAAGTTACCCTGGCACCAAGATCCCAAGAAGCAGCAGAAAAAAATGTTGCCACAATGGAAAAGAGATTCTAAGGGCCAATCCCAGCCACTGTCCCTTACCCCCGCAACACACACACAAGCTCTCACACATATTTTCACACATGCCCCACACTCTGCCTCCCAAGAAAAACAGCTTAGCAGCTGAGCTATCCAAATCACACCATAAAGATCCCAGACAGGGGAAAAGATCATCCACTATAATTACCATGTAGGAGCTTTCATATGGCACCCTGCTAAAAGCAGGGAAGCAAGACGGATCAGAACAGACAGCTTATTAAATTATCCAGTGCATCAACTCAATGAACACTTCCAAATGGTTTTCTTTTCCTCTTTTTTTCTATCCATGAGTTTTTAATGTTTGCTCTCCTTTCTCCACTGTTTAGGATTCCCGTTAGGTGTTCAGATCACTGCTTTCCTTCTGCCGGCTGCTGTCTCTTATCATCCACCTTCCTGAATCATTCACATAGAGTGGGAGATACAGCATGTCATGTTGCAGACTGGACCCAGCTTTTGAAGTTAGAAGACCCACGTTTGATCGTGGTTCTTCTGTGTGATCCTGGGCATGCTATGAATTTGCCTGAGCTGTGGATTCCTCAAAGGTAACATAAGGGTGATAGCACAACTCAGTTTGGGGCAGAGATTAGAGGGGATGACATATAGCAGCCCACTTTCCAAACTGCCAAAAGAGGAACAGGTGTGAGCTGCCAGGACCATGTCAGGATGGATTTTTGGCCTTTGTCTAAGGCACAAAATCATTTGGCAAGTGCTAGGAAGAGGTCCTCTGCCTCCAGATAGTGCTACAGAAATGCACTACACAAGAGCTTTCAATTTGATTAACAAATATCCACCTTGAAAATGCAAATAGACAGGTGAAAAAAATGCATCTGTCTACCTTCCAGTCATCCTCATTTTAGTGTGAATCTGATTAAAAGCATTCCTTTCCATGAAAGGGCTAGATGAGCCCTGCCTGGATGAAAGAATGAATCATCTGGTAGAGTTTGGGCAATCAGGAAGGAAATGTTCAAGCCTGGGAATACTACGAAAGTGAGTTTGTTAGAATCCGGGTGGCTATAAAGAGAAGTTAAATTCTCTAAGCCCCAGTTTCCTCATCTGTAAAATGAGGGTAATAGTACCTACCTAGAGTCATTATTAGAATTAAATAAGGTAAAGTATGAACCACTTAGTGTGAGCATAGCACAAAAAAGAACTTAGTGAAACTTAACTACCACTACAGTTACTAAGAGTGGTATCATTATTATAATAACATTTATTTTTATTACTACTTCTACTAGCTGTCAATAAGCAGCATATGGCCCTCTGAACCTTGCTTGGAAAGATGCCCATCTTTCAAAGCCTCTTTTGTATCATTAATCTATTGCTGTTTAATAAAGCACCTCAAACTTGATGGCCTAAAACAACCATCATTTATTTTGCTCATGAATCTGTAATTTAGGCAGGACCTAGGGGAATGGCTTACTTCTGCTATATATGGCATCAGCTGGGGTAGTTCATCTGAAGACTAGAGGATCTAGTTTCAAGATCACTCACTTACACTGCTTAAAAAAAATGGTGCTACCTCTTGGCTGGGAACTCAGCCAGGGATATTGGTTTCAGTTCCTCTTAATCAGTTGTTTGGGCTTCTAAACAGCATGGTGACTGAGTTGCAAGAGGGAGCTTCTCAATAAAATAAAAGAACATGGCATTTTTATGACTTAGCCTCAGAAGTCACATTATGTCCCTTCCTCTGTACTCTGTCTGTCCAGGCAATCACAAAGATGCACCCATGTTCAAGGGGAGGGGACACAGACCCTACCTCTTCATGTAGGAGTGTTAAGATTGTAGAAAAAACATGTGGGATGGAAAATATTTTTGCAGCCTTCTTTAGAAAATATAATCTGCCATACCTCTCAGGAAAGTCTTCCTGAATTCTTCACCCTCACCAGTTACATGACCTCCTTTGGTGTCCAACTTTCTTTTACCACTCACATTACCCTGAAATGTTCAGCACTGTCTTTCTGTTTTTCCAATATCCAAAATAAATGGCATGGAGATGGTGGCAGAAAAAGGAAATAGAGATGCTTTACAATTTGATCTTGCTATCACTGTTTGGACACAGACAGCTCTGGAATATAATTTTATTCATTTAGAACTTTTCAACCTCTCAATTTCCTCATCTATGAAACAAGGAATAATAGTGATGACACCTCAATGAATTTTTTGAGAAAATCATATTAAGCACATCTAACTTCATGAAGCACGTAACTTACATTAGTAAACCTGGCTTTTAAGAGTTAGCACAAAAATATTAGCTATTATGATACCACTAAGTTGGAATTTGCGACAATTCATACAGAAAATAGATTTTTCTTACCCTAAGAATGTCCTGTGTTGTAACTAGTGAAAATTAAAGGTGGAGAAAATGTCAGGGAATGAAGCAGAGAGGAAAGATATCTTAAATATTTATGGCACGGCTCTTTTAAGCCTTTCACATGGAGGAGGTGGGGCTTGTACGGCATCCTCTAAGCTGAGTCCATTTTGGAGAGGTAGTGGAAGTGGGGAAGAGCATGAATGAGTAGAGAAAACTGGGCCAGTGTGAAGGGTCTGAAGGAGTCGCATCAAGCAGAGAGTGCCCTGTCTCGCCCAGCCAGACGACACAAAGCAGAAGATGGCATTTCAGATGCCCTCCAGCTCAGCAAGTCTCTACTCCTCCATTCGCAGAGGTTCTTTGTCACAAAGAGAACCTCCTAAGCCACAAAAGGAACTTAATGGAAAGATGCTGGAATGTTCAAGAAAGGAGGTGGGCTGGCTCCAGGGGTCTAGGCAGCAGGGAAGGCTGTGTGGGCCTTCTTACCAGAACATTGCCATGGAATGGGATTTGGCTCCAGAGACCACTATGATCAGAGTCTTTCCACTCCAAGTTTCCAATTCCCAGTGTCTTACCCTGGGTTAATCAGCTATGGCAAGGGAAGCAGGATCCGACAGTATGGGAGTGGCTGCTGTTAGCTCATCCGACATAAAGAGACAACTGTAGAGAAAGAAAACGAGGCAGAATTGACACAGAGAGGCAGCAGTGGGCAGGGAGCCCTTACATAGTGAAGGTCCTGGCCAGGTCCTCCTCCTCCCTCTCCATTGTCACAAAAACTGCCCTGCACTGGGTGGCGCAATGGAGTTCCAGAGAATTTAATAAGCAAAATGTGTTTATTATTCATCTATCACGTGCCAGACAGTGTGTTTAGCACTACAGATACAGAAATGAATGGACACTCCATTTCACAGCACAGGAGTACTTAGTGGTTAAGAGCCCCCAACTGGGAATGACAAAGATCAGGGTTCAAATTCCAGTTCTACCCCTTATGCATTGTGTAAATTTGGCCCTGTCTCCTCAAGCTACAGTGAAGACTGGCTAATAATTGTGCCTACCTTACAGGTCATTATAGTTCATCACAAGGATTTAACAAGAGAAGGTAGACAGTCCTCATGAGATGCCTTACACCTAGCGAGCACTGCATATACTTGGCTGTAACTCCGACTGTAACAAAAAAAAAAAAAGGACTTCCCTGCCAACTTTACCTGTCAGTGCTAGAAGAGACTGTATATTCTTATTCCAGGGTATAGGCAGATGTCCTGCCCAGTGGGATCCAGCCCCACAAACATCAGAATCACCTAGGAAACCAGTCAACAATGCAGCCCCCAGCCTTGCTCCCAGATTGTCTGATTCAGGACATCAGGAGAAAGGTCTGGAATCTACATTTAAAGCTTCCCCTCACAATCTAAGTGATTTTAATACATAATTATTATGAGTACCAGTGTTCTAGACTAGAAAATCCTCTTACTTGAAGGCAAGGAAACTGACAATGATGGAAAGAAAACAATTCGACTTAAGATCTCACAATGAGAATTACTGGGCAAATTAGTTTTCTATTGTTGTGTAACAAATTACCACAGACTTAGTGGCTTAAAACAGTACGGTAAAACTATTTTTTCCTAGTTTCTGTAGATCAGAAGTCTAGGCATAAGATGGCTGAGCCCTCTGCTGTTTGGTCCCAAAAGGCTTAAATTAAGGTGTTGGGCTGCCATCCTTTCTACAGCTCAAGGATCCCCTTTCAAGCTCTCATGGTTGTACGCAGAATTCCATTTCTTGGGGTTATAGGACTAAGGGCTCTGTTTCATGCTGGCTATCAGCCAGGGGTCACTCTTAACTCCTAGAGGCACTCTCCGGCCTTTCCATGTGGCCCCCTCCATCTCTAAAAGCCAGCAATGGAGAATCTTCTCACATTGAATCCTCCCCATGCTTTGAATCTCTCACTTTTCCCATCTTTAACCTCTAGTCTCAGATGTAAAGGGCCGATATGTAGTTAGGTGAGGCCCAACCATTTGATTAACTCAAAGTCAACCAGTTACTACCCTTTATAACAGCTACACAATTGCTGTATGCCATAACATAACCCTGGGAGTGACAGCCTGTGATAATCACAAGTTTTGCCTACATTCAAGGGAAGGAGGTTTTACAAGGGTGAGGGTCATGGGAGGTCATTTTAGAATTCTGCCTACTACACTGGGAATATAATCTAAAACTCAGACAAAACACAGCTTGTCAGTCATGCAGAAGTCACCACCCCTCACATTACAGCAATAGCTTCCTAACCTCTAAATCAACATTTGTACCTCCAAACCAAATAATACAAGAAAAGTTCATCGATGTAAAATGTAGCTTATAACTGTTATTTCAAGGCATTGTAAGCACATAGGTTGTCGATGTATTGAACAGGCACTTTCTTTGGTGTATCTCGGTGAAAAAATTGACAGTCGAGCTTACTCACCAACCCTTGCCTGTGTCCAACAAACACAACTGAAATGGAACTTAAACTGACCATCGTAACCAACCACTCACAAAATCAAGTGCTCAAACAGAAACAGATGGGAATGACAAAGGAACCTAACCTAGTACAGGTTGAGTTTATTTTGTCTGAAATGCTTAAGACCAGGAGCATTGCAAATTTTGGATTTTTTTAATTTTGAAATGTTCACATTATACTTACCAGTTTCCCTAATCTGAAAATGCTCCTGTGAACATATCCTTTGAGCATCATGTCAGAATTCCGTAAGTTTTGAATTTTGGAGCATTTCAGATTTCAGATTTTTGAAGTAAGGATACTCCATCTGTACCTCCTATGTACTTAGCACAATCTTTGTACATTATCTCATTTAAGAGTTAAGACAGTCTCATGAAATAGACATTATTATTCCTATTATAAATAAAGAAAATGAGATCTTTGGGAAAAAAAAATACAGGTAGCAAGAGGTAGTACCAGGATTAAACCTAGGTCAGGTCAGTCTAACTTCAAACTACATATTCTATCCACAGATCCAATATTAATAAATGTTGGTTATCTTCTCTATTACCTCAATCATACAATATATTTTTAAGACAAACAAAAAATCTCCACCAGCAAAACAAGACAGTGTCCCTCATGCAGTCTTAAAAAATAAGAACTACATTTTGTTCCTGCCCTAAGTAAAACTAAATCTTTCCAACAGTGTCAGATGTATTACTAATTACACAATTACATTATGCAGTCGTGCTTGTAATAAAATTCTTGGAGTGCTTTTAGCAAATTCAACTTTGGAGAAAATAACGACTTCCTTTAGAATTATTTACTAAATTAAGCAATTCTTTACTCAACATTGTTTTTAATAATTCAAGTACAGGATGTTTTATTATGAACATTTTCTAAAACAAGTTTAAAAATAATTCCATTCTTATGAGTATGAGCATGGTTGTTCCAAGAAGGTATTTTTAAAAAATATTTAATATTCCTGTTCTGCCAGACAGTGAAAGATTTTTCACATTTTCCATGATTATTTCAACTGGAATGCATCTCCCTCCTGCCCCCAGGGCTGACAGAGTTGGGGAAGAAAAGCCACAATTTCATTTATATCACTCAGCAGGTTACCACAGATGTTTGCAAGTTCTTTGGAGGAGGGGAAAATAAAGATGTCATGACAGAAGTTTTTCTCCCTTTTCCAAAGACAGTTAAAACTTTCCCCATCCCATGCGGTCTTCTGCAATGTGATTTTGCCCCCCCAATCCCCACCCACCCATCAGCAAGTGACATCTACTTGATCTCCTAGAATCTTGGTGGGCCTGTGACTACAAGGACCAGAAGAATATGGTAGAAGTGGTTTCAGTTCTGGAATCAACCCTCAACCAGTCAGGTGGCTTCTGCTTCCTTTTTTGGACCACTCAATTTTGCGATGCTCCCTCTGAGAAGCCAGCCAACATGCTGTGACATGCACAACCACACGGAGAGACCCTGTGGAGGCACTCTTGGCAACTGCCAGCTTCAACTGTCAGTCATGGGAGGCAACCATCTTGGATGCCCAGCCCAGTGGAGCCTTCAGGTGACTGCATCCCAGCCACCATCTGACTGCAACCTCACCAGCAAGCCCACAGGAGATCCACCTAGCTGAGCCCAATCAACCCACAGAAACATGAAAGAAGATAAATTGCGGCTTTGAGTCACTGAAATTTGGGGACATTTATTATGGAGCAATAGATAACCAGATACCCCTCTTCTAATTTGTCATGTATGTGAACCAGACCAGACCTGGCCACTAAGTGAGTAACTGTCTCCATGAAGGAACCATTAGAAATGTCCTGCTTTTCTTTGGGTCTCCATTTTCCCATCTGGGAAAAAAGAGGTAGGGCTAGATCAGCAGTCACAGTCTAGAGTCTATGATGGGTAGTCAATAGTTAGAAACAATATTTCTAAAAACCTGATGAAAGCCACACATTTACATGTGATGAAGCCACTCTGGCTAACTAAAAACCAAGTTTCCTTGTTTTGGGTTGAAATTACATCAACTCCGTGTATCAGCACTGTTCCTTCTGCTAGTCAGAAGCTGGTTAGCAGTCCCAGATGGCTTTGATAGCTAAAAATGAAATAAAGAATTAAATGCTGCTTAGTTCATGCAGTTTGTTCAGCATAGAAAAAAAAAATTTTTTAACATGAGCTTCTCAGCTGAGAAAGGAATCCTCAAGCAAAAAAAGATGGTAATGCCTGGGAAACATGACCTATAATAATGTTAATAGCTATCACATACTGACCACTTACTATCGACTAGGCCATATACTGTGCTGAGTGAGTCACAAGTAGTGGCTCATCTGATCCTTCAAATAACCCATGAGGTGAACACTATTTTTTTTTATTTGACATAGAAAAACTGAGGCACAGAGAGGCAAACTACCATGTGTAAAGCTATACAACTAGGAAACAACGGAAATGACAGAGCCAGGATTAAAACCCATCAGATTATAAAGCCTACATAGTACTACCTTTTAAAAGTATATATTTGTATCTAACTCAAATTAAATGTCCCCTAAAATTGTTCCTTCCACCTTTCCTCCTTATAAATAATATGTGTCGAGAAGACTGTTGGCGTTTGAATAGTAGTCCAGGCCTTGGTCATGGCATGAAGAAGTGAGACTGTGTGTTTCACAGGACTGGCCAACATCACTGGAGAATGAGCTCTCACACACTGCCTTATGGGGTACAAATTGGTAGCAACCCATTAGAAACTTGTCTCAACATTTAATAACTTTGAAGATGTGACTATACCATGTCCTAGCAATCTCATTCTTAGGTATATGCACCAGAAAACCTGATGCACATGTAGCAGTACTTACGTGGAAGTTTATCACAGCATGTTGGTTATAGCAAAAACTCAGAAACAACCTCAACATCCATCAACAAGAAAATTAAAAGTAACTGCAAATTATTGTCATTCAAGGAATTACCACATTTTAAAATGAATCAACTAGAAATGTATGTTTCAACATGGATGCATGTCAAAAACAATATTAAAAGAAAAAGGTAAATTGCAAAAAGATACAGTATGACTCCATTTCCATAAAGCTATACAATATGTAAATTTTATATTTGGTTTATACATGCATATATATGTAATAAATGTAAAAGCATTTGGGGAAGATCACAGTTAGCTCTGGGAATGGAGAAAGATGGGGAAAGCCACACAAGAGTCATTTTTATGTGCAATATTTTATTTCTCAAACTTGGTAAATTTTAAGTGTGTACTATATTGTCAGTTCATTTTGGATGCTTGAAAGATTTCATCATTTTCTTTAATTGTTCAGGAATGCAACTTTCATACCATATCCAAGCTTTTGGCCTTGAGAATCTTCTGCTCAGTCATTTCTTCCCTCCTTCTACATATTCTCCACAGTCTCCCTCACTCCACATCACTAATCTGGACCCCATGCTTTCTTTCAATCAAAAGATGTCATTTATTTAAAATTTAAAATCCAAACGACCCTGAAATGGTTTGCATTTTAAAAGAAGATTTAAGTAGAAAGGGCTTTCAAGACCTAAAGAAGTGACATTATAAGGGTGGAACAATTCTCATGGGGTCCTATGTGACATCTGCTCACATCCGTTCATTCTACAAATATTTATTGAGTACCTACCAAGTGCTAGGGGCTCGTAAGTTGCCACATTGCCCACCTCCAAGAGGAGGTAGCACCCTCTGCAGTTGTATTCTGTGAGCCCTGGTCCCAGGTTCTATGGGATATAACAATGACAAAAAAAGAGCCATGTGCTGTTCACATTAGCAACCACTCCAAATAGAATGAGACAATACACAGTAATTGATGAGCTCTGTCATCCAGCTGCCTCATTTTATTAAATGGGGAAACAGGCTCAGAGAGGAGGGCCAGAATTACCAAGTCACAGAGCACAGCAGAGATAAGGCCTAGGTCTCTGGACTCCAAGCCAGTGTCCATTTCTCTGTCCTATACTGCCTCTTTCTACACTCCATAAGGCTGTCCCTGAGTGGGGTAGAGAGAAGGAGTAAACAGATAAGAAGAAAAAAAGAAATACCTATTCTTCTCTCCCTGAAATAATGTCACTTCTCTCCCCACCTTTTCCTTTCTTCACTTCCCCTGCCTTTCAATCAGCAGGTACTAAAAGGCTACCATTGATTGCAATGATTTCACACTCTTGTTATGGATCCAGTGTTACCATTAATGCCCTGCTTGACAAACAAGCAGCAGTCCCCATTGCAGTAAGACTCAGCTAGGTGAACAGCCCTTCTGGGAGCTGACTGGGGAGATGGACAGAGCCACCCAGAATAGAGGAGAAAAATCCAGGCTGAGAACCAGCAGGCTTTATTCTCATTCCAGCTCTGCCACTCACGTGCTGGGTGAGCTTGGACAAGGCTTCCCCATCTCTGGGCCTCCACTTGATCACCAGGTTCTAAGATAACAGCATCCTAGCTCTTATCAATGACAAATAACTTCAGTGGTTTGCAACCCTAAGTCATATACACAGAATATAACCTGGCCCTTTCTAGATAATCTGCCTGAACACAGGTCCTACAAAGCAGCAGAACAGGTCACAGCTATCTATGACTTGAGATGTCCTCCACCCATTTCCTATTCTACTGAGTCATATACCTTGATGTTTCCCCTAAAAACCATATTGTCTACCGCTTTCAGCCAATAGGCTTTGGGGAGAGTTCCACCCCTAATTTCAGGTATAAATCATTGAAGTGAGGCCTAAACCAATCAGACTATCCTATCCCCTCTTGACAGCGATTGGTTCAGGGATGGACACATGTCTCAGGCAGAGATAATAAAAGAAATTGCCTTTTGCTGAGAATGCTAGAGAGGAGGCAGATGCTCTTCCCTGCTGGGTATGAAGCTGAAAAGATAGTAGGTCTTGAGTTTCTGCTCTCATCTTGGAGCCTAAAAGCAAGCTTAAACAAACAAACAAAAAAACAGTAGGACCAAGAGATGGAAAGAAATAAAGTGGTTCCTACTGGCATCAAATCATTCCTGAAACCAGCCTATCCTTTGACTTTAAATGGTCTAAGCCATTAAACTTTCTTTTTTTACCTACTTGAGATAGGTTTTCTGTCACTTACAATTAAAGAACCCTGAATGACCCACTGTCCCACACAGGAAGCTCATTAGGCTTTTCTTTGAATGCCTTTAGTGATGAAGACCACTCTCCCTCTTATTCTTTCTTCCAAGCTTATTTTGTCCTTGCCAATCCAACCCTGTCCAAGGGAGACATCAAGAGGCAGCTGAGAGAAGAGAGAGGAAATGACAGATGTGAAGAGCGAGACCATCTTCAGCTACAGGGATGGCTGACATTTATAAGATGTGTTAAATCACTAGGGTCTTCTAGGTTGTTTAATATCATATATTGATTTGCTTTTGTTTCCCTGAAGGGAAGAAGGATTTGACTAACAGCCAATGTTCCCATGACAGCAAGTGCCAGAGGGTTTTACTGAACACAGAAAAATGGAAAGCTAGAAAGGAAAAGAAAAACAGAAGAATGATGGGTTGTGAAATTGGAAAATAATATATACTTCACTGAGGCTGACATGGCCCTGAACAAGCAAGTGAAGAAGGTGAAATTCATCTTGGGCATCTTGCCACCTCCTCTAATAGCATCTGTAACCTCTTTTCTACTTCACTGCTCCTCTTCCCAAGGGGGCACCATTTGATACCCCCAGAAAGCAAAGGTAATTAGAGTTGTTCTTAAGTACTTTTCACACATCAGCACTTGGTCCATTCACATACTCTCTGTTCTTTCTAATAAGTATGGTTAGGTGTCTCTTATGGCAGAATAATATTTTTTCTTGTGGTGGTGGTGGTGTTCCTTTTAGAACACAATTTGAATTTACAGTTAAACTTGTAATTATAATTTAAATTGCCAATCCTCCCAATTTCTGCAAGCATCACAGCACTAGTCCTCACAGTGTCTCCATGTGGTGAGCACAGTCAAGACTGTTCTGCCAAACACTGAAGGAGAACCAGGACACCAACTGTATACCACACCTAGCCTAGTGCCCAGCACGAAGCAAGGGCACGGTCAGCAGTTCACAAATGAATCTCATGCAAGTCCTTTGACTGCATAGGGAACAGAGACTCAAAAGAGGAGAAGCAAGCCACCCAAGTGACTTTTTAACACTTCCTTAACCCAGCACCCTCCCCCAAACTCCATGCCACACATGCAGTATTCCATCCCACTGTAGCATGCCTGGCTGCAGTTCTACAGTTACAAGCATTGCCACCCTTGCCCACCTCTGCCTGGGCCTACTGCCTGGTTTGTTTTTGACCCACTCAGTTCTAATTTTTCTGTATGCTATCAATGCCATCATTGTTATCATTGTCGATATTTATTAAGTGCTCACCATGTATCAGACACTGTCTTGAGCCATCTCACATATATTACCTCATTTAATTCATTGACAGACTTATGAAGCTATATCCTCATTATTCTTGTTTGCTAATGAGAGAACTGAGGCTCAGGGATAGCTTCAAGGTCATGCAGCTACTAACTGGCATTCCGGACCTGAATTCAGGTCTTCTGATTCTTCCTTCTCCCACAAGGGCCTGAACTAACATGCAGTAGAACAAAACAGAAGTCATTATGGTTTCAAATGCGGGCAGCCCTTGATTTCTCACCTGCTTCCTCTCTTTTTTTCTGTAACGAATTTGTTGTGTGTCTTTGGGCAAGTCACTTGGCATCTCTGGGCTCTAGGCTCTTCATTTGTAGAAGTGAGGAGTTGCACTAGAGCTAGCTGGCCTTAAAGTGTCCCGTTTTCAGATTTCTTCCTTCCTTTGCTGCCCAAGGCACACTCACCAAATGCCACCATCTACCTTTCAGGAATGAAGAATAGTGTGGTAAAAATGAAAAATACCTGCTGTTGCCTTTTCTCAGAAATCATTAAATGAAATTCATTAAGCATTTAGATGTAGGAGATCAAAAAATCATGGAGAGTCAAGATAACATTCTAATTACAAGTTAATTATAAAAATCTAATAGCTATCACTTATTAAGGGTCTACTGTGTATGAGGAACCTTGCTGAATATTTCATAGATTGTTCCACTGAATCCTCAAACACTGTAAGGTCAGTATTCATATCATCCACCTTGTACAGAGGATGAAACTGAGGCTGTATGACCTCAGAGTGCTTAAGTAACCTACTTGAGGTCAAACAGCTGGTTGGGCTTGAAACTCAACTGGGCTTTACTACAAATCATCTCTCAGAGATTTTGCTAAAGTGTCCAACCCAGAGCAGAAGTTGTCTCTGAAAATCCCAATTAATAGGTTCAGACAGAACTTTGCAATAGTGAAGAATTTCTCAAATATGCAGACTTTTTAAAATCAGAACCACAATGAGATACACAAATGGAGATCACAAGCCAACAAAACATGTAGCCTTGGTCCCAATTAAAGGGAGAAGAGAAGCATGTGTGCCTCTCTCTGAAATGATTCACCAAATGCAGATGGAACTCTGCCTTCCTGTCAGTGTTGTCTCTATTTGTAGCAAAAAAGGTGCTTAAAAATGGAAAACACTGTTTTGAATGCAGCCATCAATCTCTTGTGCAATGTCAGTATCATTAATCTAATTAGTAATAAGAAGCCAGGTAGATTGTTATCAGAGCAGCCATCAATAGACAGCTACTGCCCTATGTAGGAAGGCATTTTTTGCCTCTATGCAGAGACAGTGTGATGATGATGGCTCCTGTGGCAAATACCAGGGCAGGAGAGCAGCTTTGCAGACACCTCTCTATGGCAGCTTACAGAAGAATCTTACCTCAAGGACCCAGGTTTCCCAGTCTCTCCCCAACAATCCTGTATGCCATTATAAATACTGATCTCTCTTCTTTCCACTTATTCAATTCCTCTCATGTCCAGATAGATCAAATCTTTGCTATAACACCTTCCCAAAGTCTTCCAGCACCCACTAGCTTGGTATTTTTGTTGCATTCTGATTCTCTCATGGGATAGTTTTATCCTCTACACTAAAGAATGTTTGGTTCTGATTCTAGCTCAGCCATATGACCTTTGGCTAGTCACATTCTCTCTCTGAACTTCAGTCTTCATCTATTAAAAAAAAGTGGTTGGGTGAAGAATGGAAGATCAGTTTTATTTCATGAGTCTTCTCCTTTCATTTGGTATTGGCTGTCTGAAAGCCTGGACATGCAATGCTGAGAAAGCTTGTGAAGCCAACTCTGATCTCAGCACAAAACACTATTATGGTTGATTGGTGATGTCTGCCATGGGCATAAGTGGAGTGAGAAATGTATCCCTGTGCTATGTCACTGCCATCCACGGTCCAGATGGGTATCTGAGACTCTTCAGCTCTGACAATACATAATTGCTCTTCTTTGTATCCAGTGTCAGGAGCACACTCAAATTCTTTCAAGCTTTTCCAACAAAATATCCCAAGTGGCAGAGGTGAATTAACTGACATATACACTTAGAGACCAATGTAATAAAGGCAAAGAGAAAAGCATATCAAAGCAGTCTCTGGTTCTAGACTTTCCAGGTCAGCCCCTATAAAACCAGCTGGATGTATTTCCTTCTTTGGTTGCCTTTGAGATTGCTTGTTGTATTTTTACAATAAACCATCCTTAGCTGAGCTGGACTGAGTTGATTGCAACCAAATTAACTCTGTTAAGTGTCCCCTATAATAGTCCCCACTTGCGAAGCACTTACATATATTAGGCATGTGCTAAGAGGTAGACTTAATTTCATTGGTATTCATTATTATCCTGTGAAGTAGATATTATTACCTTCATCCCACTCATGGTGAAATTGAGATTTAGAGAGGTTAAGTCACTTGCTGAAGCTCACAACTGTTAGAGCCAGGATTTCATGCAGTTTTCCCTAATCATAAGCCCTGTGTTCCTGATCTCTGCATTTGCAAAACAGCTTCCAAATTATATCTTTTTAATTTTAATCTTTAAAGAAGGTGGGGGTACCAAAACTGACTGGTACCACAGGATATGGCATATTTATTCTGCAATGTCACATGCCTCTTGGGCGCAGGACCATATACCCCTGAATGTGTGCATATGCCAATTTGAGAAAGAGAAAACAAAATAGGCCAATCAAAGCTTATTCATGAAGAGTTATTCTGACATATTTTCAGACAGCATTTTGGATGATTTTCTGAAGTTGCCCTCTCCCCTAGGCTGGTGACCTTGGGCACCTACTCAATCTCCATAGTCCACTCCTAACTGAACAACTCAACTGCACTCATTGCAGAAGCAACCTCCTGAATTCAAGTCCTCTGTTACTGTCCTCTTTCACAGAAAGCCTTTCATCTTCCAAAAAGGCAGCCAAAATATTTCATATATTTATTAGAGGGTGATTTAGAAGTGTTAATATTTAATTCCTTCTCCCATTTTTTTAACAAGAGTTTGATTTTAAGACATCAAGTTGGCCAACTGAGCAATAATAACATGCCTGAGAGTGAAGAAATAGTACGCTATTAACAAGTGATTTCAAATTAATCCCAGGATATTTCCAACATGGAAATGCACCTCCTAACACCCTTATCTTTTTGGCCTCATGCACCTGGCTATGGAAGAGATTTACACTTGCAAATTCTAAGCTCTAACAGAGTAATATTTCTGCTTCAACCCAGCTTCAATCTATTCTTTAGAAATAAAGAAAAGAAAATACTTTGTTGTATTTGGCATTGAGATTTGTTCAGTGCAAAGAGGTGGCATTTGCTGGGATGAAAGAAAAAGGAGTATTTAAGGACTGGCATAAAAAATTGGAAGAAATAAACTGGAAGAATTGATGGCTCATGGGGCTTGAAGACAGACCTAGTGAGGAAAAAGGCTTTTCTATTTCTGCAAATTTAGTTCAAAGTTATTGTTTTTGTTTGGTAGGCCTGAGTTTGGGGTTAACCAAAAAACCTCCTGGTTTCCTTCAGGTACAAGGAGGGAAGCATAATAAGAACTATAGGGACAATTAGTTTTTTATTAAACATGTACCATATGCCAGGCACTGTGTTAAACTCCTCATTTTGTGTCATTTTATTTAGTTTTAATCCCCTCAGCAACCTCAATAGGGAAGTTCTGTTATTGCCACTATTTTGCAAATGATGAAAATGAGACATGGATAGGCTAAAAAACTTATCACATCAGTAATAAGTGACAGAGCTGGGGCATTTCAAACCTGGAGGCTGTCCTCCCAGTCACAATATGCTGCCACTATGGAAAGGTCCTCCAGGCCCAAGAAGCTACAGTCCTGATCAAGGTCACTTCACCAGCACCGGGAAGGGGACCCTGGACTCCAGTGTCAAGGATGCCTTTTCTGTAGCATTCTCTATTCTTCCTACTACCCTACAGACTTGGGGTCCTTTACAGCTGAAAGAGACCTGAACACCATGGAATACTATGCAACCATAAAAAAGGATGAGTTCATGTCCTTTGTAGGGACATGGATGAAGGTGGAAACCATCATTCTAAGCAAACTATCACAAGGACAGAAAACCAAATACCGCATGTTCTCACTCATAGGTGGGAATTGAACAATGAGAACACTTGGACACAGGGTGGGGAACATCACACACTGGGGCCTGTCATGGGGTGGGGGAAGTGGGGACGGATAGCATTGGGAGATATACCTAATGTAAATGATGAGTTAATGGGTGCAGCACACCAACGCGGCACATGTATACATATGTAACAAACCTGCATGTTGTGCACATGTACCCTAGAACTTAAAGCGTAATAAAAAAAATAAAAAATAAAAATAGGCCAGGCGCAGTGGCTCACGCCTGTAATCCCAGCACTTTGGGAGGCCGAGGCGGGCGGATCACCTGAGGTCAAGAGTTTGAGACCAGCCTGGCCAAGATGGTGAAACCCCATCTCTACTAAAAATACAAAAATTAGCCAGGCATGGTGGCAAGCACCTATAATCTTAGCTGCTTGGGAGGCTGAGGTGGGAGAATTGCTTGAACCTGGAAGGTGGTGGTTAGTGAGCTGAGATCAAGCCACTGCACTCCAGCCTGGGTGACAGAGCGAGACTCCATCTCAAATAATAATAATAATAATAATAATAATAATAATAATAAATAAAATAAAAAGATGATCTACTTCCCTTCTCCACTCCATTTTACTATGAGGTCACTGAGGCCCAGAAGTAATAATAGCCTGTCCAAGGTCAGAAACAAGAGCAGTGTCTCCAGGATCATCTTGTCCTTACTTCTTTATGTTTACTGCTTACTCCAACACCCTTCCCCACCTATGGCTACTGTGCATAGCACATCTATATTCAATAGTGCTTCTGTTATACCCACTTGCCTCATCAAAACTCATTCATCCAGTGTCCTAATACCACAAGTTTTTGCTAGTTGATCCTGTTATGTCAAAAAACTAAAAGAATCCTAGAATGTCAGAGTAGGAAAGTCTCAAACATATAATCTTACCCATTTCCTTCATTTTAAAAATCAGAACAGTGGCCCAGAAAAGACAAGACATTTGATAGTGCCTAAGAACCTCAATGGATGTGCAGTATTAGAGTACAGGAAGAAAATAAACCAGAACCTCTTTTATATTGATTTTATATTAAAGTTGAGAAAGAAATTAAGGTTTACTTCTACATAACATGCAGGCTGGCACTGGTTCTATCAGCCTGCAGTTAGGAGATCACTTATTACCTATTGTACATGATGGGCCTGAAAGAAGAATGGCTTTAAACACAGTTTAGAGATGACAGTGGACCCTCTTGTTTGCTTGGTTTTAGAATATTACAATATATTGAAACTTATATGCTTTAGGATTTCACTACAGTTGTTAATTTATTAAAGAAATAAGACTGGTACATGGTAGGATGTTCTTTCTTCATAGTGGGATGCAGTTGACATTTAATTAATTGATTTTTGACTGCTATATAGCAGCATTATACAACAATCTCCTTTTTTCCAACCTTTAAGTTCAGGGGTACATGTGCAGGATGTGTAGGTTTGTTACACAGATAAACATGTGCCATGGTGGTTTACCACACAGATCATCCCATCACCTAGGTATTAAGCCCAGCATCCACTAGCTATTCTTCCTGATCCTATCCCTCCTCTCACCCACCATCCTCCAACAGGCTTCAGTATGTGTTGTTCCCTCCCATGTGTCCCTGTGTTCTCATCATTTAACTCTCATTTATAAGTGAGAACATGTGGTATTTGGTTTTCTGTTCCTGCATTAGTTTGCTGAGGATAATGGCCTCCAGCTCCATCCATGTCCCTGCAAAGGACAGGATCTTATTCCTTTTTATGGCTGCATAGTAGTCTGTGGTGTATATCTACTACATTTTCTTTACCCAGGTTATCACTGATGGGTATTTAGGTTGATCCCAAGTATTTGCTATTGTGAATAGTGCTGCAATGAACATACACATGCACGTGTCTTTATAACAGAATGATTTATATTCTTTTGAGTATATATGCAGTATTGAGATTGCTGGGTCAAATGGTATTTCTGTCTTTAGTCTTTGAGGAATCACCACACTGTCTTCCACAATGGTTGAACAAATTTACACTCCCATCAATAGTGTACAAACCTTTTTCTCTGCAGCCTTTCCAGCAACTGTTACTTTTTGACTTTTTAATAATTGCCGTTTTGACTGATGTGAGATGGTATCTCATTGTGGTTTTGATTTGCATTCCTCTAATGATCAGTGATGTTGAGCTTTTTTCCATGTTTATTGGCCACATGTATGTCTTCTTTTGAGAAGTGTCTGTTCATGTCCTTTGCCCACTTTTTAATGCAGTTGTTTGCTTTTTTCTTGTAAATGTGTTTAAGTTCCTTAAAGATGCTGAATATTAGACCTTTGTCAGATGCATAGATTGCAAAAACTTTCTCCCATTCTGTAAGTTGTCTGCTCACAATGTTAATAGTTCCCTTTGCTGTGCAGGAACTCTTTAGTTTAATTAGATCCCGTTTGTCAATTTTTGCTTTGGTTGCAATTGCTTTTGGCGTCTTTGTCACAAAAACTTTGCCTATGCCTATATCCTGAATGGCATTGCCTAGGTTTTCTTCTAGGGTTTTTATAATTTTGAGTTTTACATTTAAGTGTTTAATCCACCTTGTGTTAGTTTTTGTATATGGTGTAAGGAAGAAGTCCAGTTTCAATTTTCTGCATATGGCAAGCCAGTTCTCCCAGCACCATTCATTATATGGGGAATTCTTTCCCCATTGCTTGTTCTTGTCAGGTTTGTCAAAGATCAGATGCTGATATGTGTACAGTCTTATTTCTCGGTTCTCTATTCTGTTCCACTGGTCTATGTGTCTGTCTTTGTACCAGTACTGTGCTGTTTTGGTTACTGTAGCCCTGTGGTATAGTTTGAACTCAGGTACCATAATGCCTTTTTGTAGACTTGTTCTTTTTACTTAGGATTGCCTTGGCTATTCGGGCTCTTTTTTTGGTTCCATATGAATTTTAAAATCGTTTCTTCTAATTCTGTGAAGAATGTCAATGGTAGTTTAATGCAAATGCATTGAATCTATAAATTGCTTTGGGCAGTATGGCCGTTTTCACAATATTGACTCTTCCTATCCATGAACATGCAAAATTTTTCCATTTGTTTGTGTCATCTGTGATTTCTTTGAGCAGTGATTTGTAGTTCTCCTTGAAGTGATCCTTCACTTCTCTTGTTAGCTGTATTCCTAGGTGTTTTATTCTTTTTGTAGCAATTGTGAATAGGAGTTCATTCATGATTTGGCTTTTGCCTTACCTGTTGGTGTATAGAAATGCTAGCAATTTTTGCATATTGATTTTGTAACCTGAGACTTTGCTGAAGTTGCCTGTCAGCTTAAGAAGCGTTTGGGGTGAGATGATGGGGTTTTCTAGATATAAGATTATGTCATCTGCAAACAAAGAGAGTTGACTCCCTCCCTTCCTATTTGTATACCCTTTATTTCTTTTTCTTCTCTGATTGCCCTGGCCAGAACTTCCAATACCGTGTTGAATAGGAGTGGTGAGAGAGGGCATCCTTGTATTGGGTTGGTTTCCAAGGAAAATGCTCCCTACTTTTGCCCATTCAGTATGATATTGGCCATGAGTTTGTTATAGATGGTTCTTATTATTTTAAGGTATCTTCCTTCAATACCTAGTTTACTGAGACTTTTAACATGAAGAGATGTTGAATTTTATCAAAGGCCTTTTCTGCATACATTGAGATAAACATGTGAGTTTTGTCGTTAGTTCTGTTTATGTGATGAATCACATGTATTGATTTGTGTATGTTGAACCAACCTTGCATCCTGGGGATGCAGCCGACTTGATCATGGTGGATAAGCTTTTTGATGTGTTGCTGGATTTGGTTTGCCAGTATTTTGTTGAGAACTTTCGCATTAATGTTCATCAAGAATATTGGCCTGAACTTTTCTTTTTTGTTGTATCTCTGCCAGGTTTTGGTATCAAGAAGATGCTGGCCTCATAGAATGAGTTAGAGAGGAGTCCCTTCTTTTCAAGTTTTTGGAATAGTTTCAATAGGAGTGGTACAAGCTCATTTTTGTACCTCTGCTAGAATTTAGCCATGAGTCCATCTGGTCCTGGGTTTTATTGGTTGTTAAGCTATTTATTACTGCCTGAATTTCAGAACTCACTACTGGTCTTTTCAGGGATTCAATTTCTTCCTGGTTCAGTCTTGGAAGGGTGTATGTGTCCAGGAATTTATCCATTTCTTCTAGATTTTCTAGTTTATATGCATATAGGTGTTTATAATATTCTCTGATGGTTGTTTGTATTTGTGTGGAGTCAGTGGTGATATCCTCCTTATCATTTCCAATTGTGTTTATTTGAATCTTTACTCTTTTCTTTTTTATTAGTCTAGCTAGTGGTCTGTTTTATTAATTTTCTCAAAAATCAGCTCCTGGATTCATTGATCATTTAAATGGCTTGTCATGTCTCTATCTCCCTTCAGTTCAGCTCTTATCTCTGTTATTTCTTGTCTTCTGCTAGCTTTGGGGTTTGTTTGCTCTTGGTTCTCTAGTTCTTTTAGTTGTGATGTTAGGTTATTAACTTGAGTTTCTAGATTTTTTGATTTGGGCATTTGGTGCTATAATTTTCCCTCTTAACACTGCTTTAACTGCATCCCAGAGATTCTGGTACATTGCCTCTTTGTTCTCATTAGTTTCAAAGAACTTCTTGATTTCATAAATTTCATGATTTACCAAAAAATTATTCAAGGGCAGGCTGTTCAATTTCCATGTAGTTGTATGGCTGTGAGTGAATTTCTTAATCTTGAGTTCTAATTTGATTGCACTGTGGTTCAAGATAATTTTTGTTATGATTTCACTTCTTTTGCCTTTGCTGAGGCTATGTGATCAATTTTAGAGTGTCATGTGGTGATAAGAAGAATGTATATTCTGTTGTTTCTGGGTGGAGAGTGCAACAGATATCCATCAGCTCCACTTGATCCAGAGCTGAGTTCAGGTCCTGAATATCTTTGTTAATTTTCTGTCCTGATGTATCCATCAGATCCACTTGATCCAGAGCTGAGTTCAGGTCCTGAATATCTTTGTTAATTTTCTGTCTTAATGATCCGTGTAATATTGTCAGTGGGGTGTTATATTTTCCCACTCTTTTTTTTAGAGTCTAAGTTTCTTTGAAGGGCTCTAAGAATTTGCTTTATGAATCTGGGTGCTTCTGTATTGGGTGCATATATATGTAGGATAGTTAGCTCTTCTTGTTGAATTGAACCCCTTACCATTAGGTAATGCCCTTCTTTGTCTTTTTTTTAAATCTTTGTTGGTTTAAAGTCTGTTTTGTCAGAAACTAAGATTGCATCCCCTCTTTTTTCTGTTTTCCACTTGCATGTAAATTTTTCTCCATCCCTTTATTTTGAGCCTATGTGTATCTTTGCGTGTGAGATAGGTCTCTTAAAGACAGCATACTGACGGGTCTTGATTCTTTATCCAGCTCCCCACTCTGTGTCCTTTAATTGGAGCATTTAGCACTCTTACATTTAAGGTTACTATTGTTATGTGTGGATTTGATCCTATCATCATGATGCTAGCTGGTTATTTTGCAGACTTGTTTATGTGATTGCTTCATAGTGTCATTGTCTGTGTACTTCAGTGTGTTTTTGTAGTGGCTGGGGAGTACTGACTTGTTGCCAGCCCAAATGTACCTGTAGGAGGTGGCTGGAGACCCCAGTTGGGAGGTCTCACCCTGTTAGGAGGAACGGGATCAGGGACCCGCTTAAAGAAGCAGTCTGGCTGCATTTTGGTAGAGCAGCCATGCTGTTGGGGATCACTTCAGCCCCCTCCCCACCCTCAATCAGTTTCGGCTCTCCAAGGCCCACAGGCTGGACTAGCTGAGACACCCAAATAGCAAAGGTAGCAGCCCACCCCGCTCCCCTGGCACTCCATCCCAGGGAGAAATTAGAATTCTGTCAGCTGTAGAACACAGGTAGGGGTGGCTAGAGGTCCTGGCTGGGAGGACAAACCCAGCAAGGAGGAATGGAATGGAGTCCCATTTAAAGAAGTGGTCTGGCCACACCTTGACAAAACAGCCTCACGGTGCTGGGAAACTACCTCTGCCCTGGTTGGCTTAGACTCTCCAAAGCCCACAGTCTAGAACAGCCAAGTAATCCAAAAACAAAGGTAGCGCCTTGCCCCCTCACCCTAGACACTTCGTCCCAGAAAGATCAGAGCTGGAGGTAGCTGGAGGCCCTGGCTGGGAGGTCCTGCCCAGTAAGGAGAAATGGATCAGGCTTCCACTTAAAGAAGCAGTCTGGCCACATTTTGGCAAAGCAGCTGTGCTGTGCTAGGGGGTCCCCTCCTTGTCTGGACTGTTTGGACTCTTCAAAGCCAGCAGGCTGGAATGGCTGAGTCATCCAAACAACAAAGGTGGCAGCCTACCTGTCCTGCCTGGCACTCCCTCTGTCCCAGGGACAAAGCAGGCAGGGGTGGCTGGAGGCCCTGGCTGGGAGGTCCTGCCCAGTGAGGAGGAATGGATCAGGGTCCCAGTTAAAGAAGAAGTCTAGCCACATTTTGGTAAAGCAGTTGTGTTGCACGGGAAGTAGAGGGGGGCATTCCTTCCTTATCCGGGCTATCTGGACTATCCAAGGCCCACAAGCTGGAATAGCCTAGTCGTCCAAACAGCAAAGATGGTGGCCCTCCCCTCCCCCTGGGGGATCCATCCCATCTCACACAGGCTCACCCTATTGCCAATGACTGGCTAGAATTCCAGGCCAATGGGTTTTATCTTGTGAGGTGCTGGTGGAAGTGGGGCCCACAGACCAAGGCTGCTTGGCCCCCAGCTTCAGGCCCTTTCCTAGGGGTATGTACAGACCTCCCACCTTGCCTGAGTTGCAGTCACCTTTATCAGAGATTCCGGGCCGGAATATGTAAAGCTCCTGGGTCTCTGTGCATGCCTAAGCAGCTGCTCTGTGGAGACTCCACATAGTTCTGTGTGTTAGACCCAAGGCCCTGGTGGAGTGGGCTCATGAGGGGATCTCCTGATCCTAGGGTTGCAAATATCCATGCAAAGATCCATGGAAGAAGTGGGGTTTCCCAAGGTCACACATTCACTCACCATTCCCCTTGGCTGGGAATGGGGGTTCCCTTGGCTCTCTGTCTCTCCTGGGTGGGTTGTCACCCTGCCCTGCTTTTCTTTGTTCTCCATGGATTGAATCATTTCCCTGATCAGTCCCAATGCGAGTACCTGGATATTTCACTTGAAGGTGCTGTATTCATTCGCCCCTCTGTTTCTCTCCATGAATGCCCCACAGTAGCTGCTTTTAATCAGCAATCTTGCTCCATTTACTGGAATGTTTATAACATTCTGCAATGAAGCAGAAACTAATCATGAAAATTTTTGGTGCCACACCGAGATTAGCTAATTATTTTATGAGAAAATACCAAAGAGTTGTTGAAATCAAAGTTATTCTTTTTTAACACGAAATTTTAGGTCTAAAAAACTAGAATCTTGCCAATCTGCTATTTTCTGGGATGACAACTAGCTGTCAGTTTATACTACCCAATATATATTTTCAACAATGACCAAAACAATTCACCCTTCAAGGTAAATGTGAAATTTTCAAAATGTATTTTTAAAAATTAGCTGCTTTAAAAAAAAAAAGGCCGGGTGCGGTGGCTCATGCCTGTAATCCCAGCACTCTGGGAGGCCGAAGCGGGCGGATCACGAGGTCAGGAGATCAAGACCATCCTGGCTAACATGGTGAAACCCCGTCTCTACTAAAAATACAAAAAATTAGCCGGGCATGGTAGTGGGCACCTGTAGTCCCAGCTACTCAGGAGGCTGAGGCAGGAGAATGGCGTGAACTGGGGAGGTGGAGCTTGCAGTGAGCCGAGATCACGCCACTGCACTCCAGCCTGGGTGACAGAGAGAGACTCTGTCTCAAAAAAAAAAAAAAAAAAAAAAAAAACCTCATGCTAAAGAGAAGGCATTTTGAAAAGAGATATTGGGAATGTTTTCTCATTGTATATTGCCTAGATTGAGTTCTGAATAAAACTTCACTTTGTAAGCTGGATTTTAAAAATCTTCCAAATGAAGAATTTGAGTGGTTTTAACCTAGTTTTAAAGAGAAAGCAACAACTAATTAGCCTCTAATGAGATAGAAATTTACTAACCAAATTTCAACTAAAACCTGTATGTAAAAGTGGTGGAGGGAATTTTAAAATGAACATTATGATTTACAAAATACATCCAATTATACCTTTCTTCTCAATGGATTAACATATTTCTGTGCAGTATCTTTTTTATTTTTATACTCATTAAAAAGCAAGTATAAAAATAAACTGAACTTGGACAAGAATTTGTAAATATCTAAGTCTTAAACCAAGCATAGCTCAACTGCATTGATCTCCCTAAAATATTAATACTGCTTAACTACTTTACATGCTATGTGAATAATATTTAACTGAGAGCAAAAAACATTTATTTTTAAATGTTTTATTTCAGCTCTTATGCTTTTAAAATGTCTGTTTGCTGTATGTTTTATAATGTACCAAATATCTAGTACAGTGAAATTTGAATGCAATCTTAAAATAAATATGCACACATTTAAGATGTGTGCTCCACAATATTTTACTGAGACAAAAGCTGGTACAGAAAGCTTGGCAGTCTCTGGTCTAAAGACTCATAGCTAGGGGATTTGGAAACCCAGGGCCTAGAAGCACTCTTGGCCATGGTCATATTTGCCAGAGTCAGAAAAGCTCGGCATTAGATGCCAAGTCCCTGCCATGGCAGCCAGCAGATAAGAACAACTAAGCCATGTGAGTTCTCTGAATGCAGGGAAAACCCCAAGGGTCACTCTCCAGTCCTATCTCAATTCTAAAAGGCTACAAGCTTTTTGAAAAGCTTCACAAAGTTTAAAACTTTGTGTGGAGCTAGTGTCCAGCCATGTTAATCCTCTCCTTGAAAATCTCAAAATATTTCCCTTGCCCAACGTTTACAATCCATGGATCTTTCCCATTTTCCACTGAATTTCTCTTACCAAAGAAGGAATAAATTTTACAACAAACTCACATTGTCCTTAAAGATTTTAGAGTACATCAATTCAATGGTAGAGTAAGTAGCCATTAAAATAATAAAATAGATATTTATTGATTGAAATGATGTAGAATGATGTTTATGATAAATTGTAAAGCAAAAAGCATATGTACAGAATATGTACAAAATATACGTACAGAATAACTGCAACAAACATACACACACACACACACATACATATTTCTAACTGTAGTTATATCTGAGTGATGGGATTGGGGTGAATTTTTTTATTGCTCATTTGTATTTTTTTCCATTACAAACTTGTATCACTTGTATCAGGAGGAAAAAGGCTGTTGTCTTTTGTTGTTTTGTTTTGTTTTGTTTTTTGAGATGGAATCTTGCTCTGTCTCCTGGCTGAAGTGCAGTGGCACAATCTCGGCTCACTGCAACCTCCGCCTCCCGGGTTCAAGTGATTCTCCTGCCTCAGCCTCCAGAGTAGCTGGGACTACATGTGCACGTCACCATGCCCAGCTAATTTTTTGTATTTTTAGTAGAGACGGGGTTTCACCATGCTGGCCAGGATGGTCTCGATCTGACCCCGTGATCCGCCTGCCTCAGCCTCCCAAAGTGCTGGGATTACAGGCATGAGCTACTGTGCCCGGCCAAGGCTGTTTTTTAATTGAACTGATCCAAATAGGTATTCCCACTGAACAGCCCCTAAGAGGGGTTTTACTTGAAACAACGAGAATAACAATCACCCTTACTATAGAACGATAGTTTTGTTTTAAAAGCCTTTTTAGTCCATTACCTCCTTCATCTCTGGCAACACAATATTCTTAAAGCACCAACAACCTGAAATTGTTTCTCCCCTGCTCAAACCCCCTTCTAAAGGGGTCTACTATTCCAGAATAAAATCCAAGATCATTTGTATGGTATGCGGACCTCTTATAATCTAGCCTTATCTTACCGCTTCGGCTTGATTTCCTTCTGCTTCCCACCTCCCCATATATTCTAGCTACCCTGTTCCTGAATCCATCATACACTTCCCTGCCTCTTTTTTATCTTTTCTCTCTAGAATGCCTTTTTTATATGTTCTACTTTATAAACTCCTGTCAGTTCTTTAAAACTCAGATCAAATGTTTCTCTATTGAGAAATTATTACTCACACATAATATTCTCTCTATCCTCACAGCGGCTTTCATTTTCCTTTGATAGCACACTTCCCTAGGGGACAGCAAATCCCTCAAGAGCAAGGGCTCTGTTTATTCAATTCTGAATTAACACTAACAACAATTCCTGGCATACAGGTGACATCAATAACTAGTAGGTTTCTTAAAGAAAAGAAAGGTACCTTTGCACAAGACATAGGAAAGAAAAAGTTACATTAAGATAGGATTCTCAAAAGACATGGCTAGACTTAGTAAGGGAAATCTCAGTGTGGTTCAATGATAAGTGATAAGACAAGCCCAAGCAGGAAAACGATATAGCAGCTGCTATATTTGAATCATCCCACCCAACCAGCACACCCAAAGGTCTCACCTTCTCTCGACAAGATAGGAATTTGATACTTTTCATGTAAGTTTGGGATGCTAAAGGCAAAACAAAACAAAACTTGGTGGGAGCTTCCCGTGGTCCTGAAGCTATTGAACTCTAGCCACCCATTTCCCTTCATTTATGAAGAAATTACTGATGCCCTTATGTGGTAATGGAACTGTTTTAGGCTCTAAATTAGAAATATAGTGGTCAAAAAGACAGATAACAGGCTGGGCGCGGTGGCTCACACCTGTAATCCCAGCACTTTGGGAGGCCGAGGTGGGTGGTTCACAAGGTCAAGAGATTGAGACCATCCTGGCCAACATGGTGAAACCCCATCTCTACTAAAAATACAAAAATTAGCTGGGCATGGTGGCATGCACCTGTAATCCCAGCTACTTGGGAGCCTGAGGCAGGAGAATCACTTGAACCCCGGAGGCAGAGGTTGCAGTGAGCCAAGATTGCACCACTACACTCCAACCTGGTGACAAAGCAAGACTCCATCTAAAAATAAAAATTAAAAAAAAAGATAGATAACAGCTCTGCTGTGTTTTTGGAACTTACATTCTAGTTGTGGACAAAGACACTAGACAATGAAAGAAAAGCTATACCAGATTCTGATAAATTGCCAAGAATTAGAATAATGTGACATGAAGATAAAAAGTGGTTACTTTATTGGATGGTCGGGAAAGGTCTCTCTGTGAAGGCAATATTTAAGATGGAGTCTGGAAACAAGAATCTACCAGCCAAACCAAGAGCATTCCAGACAGATAAAACATTGTCCTTCTCCCTAAGGGGAGAATGAGCTTGTTATGTTCGGGAAAGAGACAAAGTCAAAGTTGTTGCAGCATGGTAAACAAAGCAAACAAGATGACGGGGGTGTGGGGAGAGCAGGTGTATAATCAAATAAGGCTTTTTATGCTAGGGTAAGGAATTTCAATCCTTTCCAACTGTGATGAGATAACTTGCTAACGAGGAATTTTCAGGCAGGACCAACGGATGGGTAGAGGGCTTTGACGCTCCTCTGGATTAATCCTGAACCTTAATCTTTAGGACTAGCCAACCACATGATTTCTCTGGTTATGGTCTTGATCCTAAGACCAAACTATGTAAAATTGAGTGTGGAGAATATGGGGTAAGGAGTATACACAAACAAGAAAGTAGATCATTTATAATTCTATAAGAGACAAACATAAAACCCAGGGTAGCCAATTTGGAATGTTGCTAATCAGACCACTAGAATGTAAGCTTTGGAAACACAGGTCCTTTGTCTGTCTTATTTATAACTAGATCTCCAGTGCTCATAATAGTGCCTGACACACATTAGGTGCTCAATATATACCAAATGAACAAACAAGTGAAGAAAATGAACAACAGATGTGGTAGCCAAGCCGATGTATCTTGCACATCTCCAGCTACTGGGAACTTTGTTTACCAAAGGCCACTGATGAAATTCACCAAGTTTCCCGTGGACTTCCGCCAACCGCTGCCCGAATGTGACACAGATACTGTGGCAGGCCCATTATGGAGACACAAGACTCCCTGATAGCCTTGGTGAGGCTTCCTTCGACTGCTCATTGGTCTATGATGCTTCCACCAGGCCTTCTTTCCTTCTTCCTTTACTAGGAGCCTGACTTGCCTGTTAGTCTGATAGATCTCCCAGCCTCTCCTGCTTCCCTCTCCAGTATTTCTCCAAGCACTTCTCCTAATTAAATCCCATCTTGGCTTTTGCTTCTTGGAGCACCCAGACTAATGCAAAAGATCTAGAATACTTTCAACTGAGATGCAAACTAACAGAATCTCTTGCTCATCCGGTATTACCTATTTATGTACTTCCTTCCCAGGCAGGAATTAAGCAACCCTGAAGCCAAAGAGAAGAACAGGTCTATAATTGCTCCTAAACAGTAAAAGGGAGATGTTGAAGAGATACTGAAAAAGCATTCTTTTATTTCTTCCTATGTCCTGATATATAGAAGCTACTTTATATCCTAGTAAAGTCTTACTTTAATGTCCTTAAAAAGTAGGCTCTTTATAGCTGTAATTTCCATAACTCAAAGTCTTTGATCAGAAAGCAATTTTTTTATCTAGTCTCCTGGATTCGTTGATAAAAGAACCAGTGATTTCTGTGCTGTACTCAAAGATATACAAATCTCTAACACATCCTTGATCAAAATTTATTCTCCCAACATCCATGTAAATTAAGTGGAGCACAGAATACTATCCCCATTCCACAAGTGAAGACACTGACATTTAATAATACAAAGTAGCTTCTTAGTAATTTACAGAATACAGAGTACCCACACATAGGTCTTGTGACTTGGAACACAGGGCTCTTTCTCCACATCATGCTACCTGTCATAGCTAGGGCCATGGAGTGAACATGTTATTTTTTTCCATTCCCAGAATCTATTCTGCTTTTTTCTGATAACAACATCCCACCTCTATTCTAGATTATGAGTTAATTATGGGCTAATTCTACCAGAGCTCAGAAGGTGAATATATGACCCAAGATATGCAAATCGTACATTAAATGCTCTATAAATAGACAAAATAACCCAAGCAAGGCCACTGAAAGGCACCTGGAATCTTGCTACATTGCCTGGGAATAAACCAATGCAGCAAAACGTATAAGGAGCTCAAACAATTCTATTAAAATATAAGAAAAATCTAATAGTCTAACTTAAAAATGGACAAAAGGTCTGCATAGACATTTCTCAAAAGAAGACATACAAATGGCAAACAGGCATATGAAAAGGTGCTCAACGTAAGTGATCATCTGAGAAATGCAAATCAAAACTACAATGAGATATCATCTCACCCCAGTTAAAATGCCTTTTAACTTAAAGACAAGCAGTAACAAATGCTGTCAAGGATGTAGAGAAAAGGGAACACTTGCACACTGTTGGTGAGAATGTAAATTCATACAACCACTATGAAGAACAGTTTGGAGGTTTCCCCCAAAATATTAAAAGTAGAGCTGCCATACAACCCAGCAATCTCACTCCTACTATGCACCCAAAAGAAAGGAAATCAAAATATCGAAAAGATATCTGTACTCCCATGTTTATTGCAGTACTATTCACAATAGCCAAGATTTGGAAGCAACCTAAGTGTCCATCAACAGATTAATGGATAAAGAAAATGTGATATATATATAGAATTAAACACTATTCAGCCATAAAAAAAAAAGAATGAGATCACGTCATTTGCAACAACATGGATAGAACTGGAGGTCATTACGTTAAGTGAAATAAGCCAGGCACAGAAAGACAAACACCACATGTTCTCACTTATTTGTGCGGGCTAAAAATAAAACAATTGAGATCTTGGAGATAGAGATTTATCAGAGGATAGAGAGTTAACTATGGTAACTCTCTATCTAGGATAGAATGGTTACCAGAGGTGGGGAAGGATAGTGGTGAGGTTAGGGGAAGTGGGGATAGTTAATGAGTACAAAAAGAAAATAGTTGGAAAAATGAATAAGACCTAGTATTTGCTAGCACAACAAGATGACTATAGTCACATTTGACTATAGTAAAAAAAATTAACTGAATCACACATTTTAAAATAATTTAAAAAGAATGACTGGATTGTTCATAACACAAAGGATAAATGTTTGAGGAGATGGATATCCCATTAACCCTCATGTGATTATTACATGCCTGAATCAAAATATCTCATGTAACCCATAAACATATATACCTACTATGTACCCAAAACATTTTTAAATTAAAAATTAATTTTAAAATGTTAAAAAACTATATGGTGAAAATCAGGTCCTAGAGATGGGGAAACATGAATGCTCAGGCCAGGTGTGGTGTCTCACACCTGTAATCCCAGCATTTTGGGAAGCCGAGGCAGATGGATCACCTGAGGTCAGGAATTCGAGACCAGCCTGGCCAACATGGTGAAACCCTGTCTCTACTAAAAATACAACAATTAGCTGGGTGTGGTGGCATGCCCCTGTAATCCCAGATACTTGGGAGGCTGAGGCATGAGAATCTCTTGAACCTGGGAGGCAGAGGTTGCAGTGAGCCAAGATCACACCACGGCACTGCATCCTGGGAGACATCCTGGGAGACTTCATCTAAAAAAAAAAAGAAAGAAAGAAAGAAAAGAAAAGAAGAAACATGAATGCCCAGTGACTCCAGCACCTGGATCCAGCTATGCCTAAAGCTGTGAATTATAGATTTTACAATTGTGAGAGCTAATAAATGCCTTTTTAAAAAATTTAGATACCCTGAGTTGCATTTCAGTCAATTGTCAAAAGCATGAAAGAAAGGAATCAATATTATATAGATACTGATAGTACCTCAGAAAGGGAAAAATAATCACAATAAGTAATTATTATTTAGAGCTGGAATGTGGCTAGCATGTGGCTTTACGTAAACTAATTTTTTTTCCTTTGTTTGTTTTTTTAAGTCATGGAGGACAGTTCCCAAAATCCAGTTTTATTTCCATTTCTATCAATGAGCAGAGACAAGAACTGAAATCAAGAAACTTCAAAAGGATTTTTCCTTGAACTTCAAAAATTCAGTTGGATAATTCTCCCTAGACATGTTAATGTCTGCACCAGAAAGAATAAAATAGTTTCTATAATTCCACAAGCTTTAGACTTTCAGAGGAAAGGTAATTTGTCACTGAAGTAAAGAGATGAAAAGTGGGGGTAAAGGTGTCTCAGAGGAAAGAGGAAAAACTAGATCAATACTGGAAAATGTTAGAATATACAAGTAAAGTCTCACCCCAGCATCCTCTGTTCCCCTCACTTTATTTTTCTTCATTGCACTTCACACCTGACAAGGAATATGTTTATTTGTTTACTTATTGTCTACCTCCCCACCAAGAACATGAGCACCATGTGGCCAGTAGCTATGTCTGTTTTGTTCATTGCCCTATCACCAGCTTCTAGAAAGGCAATGGCACATAGTGGCTACTAATAAATAATCGTTGAATGTTTGTTGAGAAGATATTTGCATTTCTACAACCCTTTTTCTGAATTATGTATTATATAAGAACATTTAAGTATTATAGCAATATCAACTGATGATTATCTTCAACTATTTAAATGAAATTTGATATGCATGCAAAAAGTAGAAATCTATGCTATCAGCAACATGTCCACTTACCATGCAAACTGGTACCATGGTTGATTGAATCATAAATCACAGCAGCATCACTTTTGCAACTAAAACACCTCAGAAGGAGCAAATAGGCTACAGAGCTGTGCTGTCTAATACATTAATCACTAGCCACAAATGCCCACTGAGCACTTGAAATGTGGTGAGTCTGAATTGAAATATGTTATAAGTATTAAAAAAAAAAAGTAAGTGGGGAGCTAGTTGGCTTAACAGAAGGCTCCAACAATTGTCCCCTCCAAAGGAGCATCAAATTTAACAACTATGTACACATAAACAACACCTTCATAAGAACCAAAAATCAGGTGAGCACTCACCTTACCTAGTTTTAGATTCCTATCACTGAAAGATGCACTGAAGAGGAAGAAAAGGCTGTCGAATTGCTGACACCATCCCTCCCCAGTCGCCTCACAATAGCTGTGTGGTGTGGAGAGAGAATCCATGCACTTGGGAGTGGGAAAGTGCAGTGACTGGGAGACTTTGCTTTGAATTCAGTAATGCCCCATCAGAGGAGAAAGCAAAACTCGGCTGAACTCAGTCAACACTCACCCATGTAGGGAGCATTTAGACCAGCCCTAGCCAAAGAGGAATCACCCATTCCAGTGGTTGGAACTTAAGTTCCAGTAAGCCTCACCATTGCAGGCTAAAGGGCCCTATGGCCCTAAATAAACTCCAAAGGCAGTATAGGCCACAAAGACTGCAACTCCTAGGCAAGTCCTAGTTGCTGAGCTGAGCTCAGAGCTAGTGGACTTTGGGGGCACATGACCTACTGAAACACCGGCCATGGCAGCTAAAGGAGTACTTGTCCCACTCCTCTCCCAAGCCCAGGCAGCACAGCTTGCAGCTCCAAAAGAGACCCCTTCCTTCTGCTTGAAGAAAGGAGGGGGAAGAATAAGAGAACTTTTTCTTGCATCTTAGATACGAGCTCAGCCACAGTAGAATAGGGCACCAGTCAGAGGTGAGAGGTCCACATTCCAAGCCCTAGGTCCCAGACAACATTTCTAGATGCACCCTGGAACAGAAGGAAACCTGCTGCCTTGAAGGTTGAACAGAAGTCACCTGCTGACTAAAGAGCTCTTGGCTCCTGAATAACCAGCAGCAATACCCAGGTAGTATACCATGCGCCTTGGGTGAGACTCTGAGAGGTGCTGGCTTTAGGTGAGACCCAGAACATTCCCAGCTGTGGTGGCTACAGAGAGAGACTTCTTCTGCTTGAAAAAAGCAAAGGGAAAAGTAAAGAGGACTTTGTTTAGACATAAGCAACTTACTAAGCTTGAACCATGAAGAAATCCCAAACCTAAACAGACCAGTAATAACTAATGAGATTGAAGCAGTAATAGAAAGTCTCCCAGCAAAGCAAAGCCTGGGACCCAATAGCTTCAATGCTGAATTCTATCAAACATATTCTTTAAAGAGAATTAATACCAATCTTACTCAAAATATTCCAAAAATAGAGGAGGAGAGAATACACCCAAACTCATTTTCTGAGGTCAATATTATCCTGATACCAAAACCAGTCAAAGACACCTCAAAAAGGAGCTAGGCACAGTGGCTCATGCCTGTAATCCCAGCACTTTGGGAGGCCAAGACGGGTGGATTGCTTGAGGTCAGGAGTTCAAGACCAGCCTGGCCAATATGGTGAAACCCCATCTCTACAAAAAATACAAAAAATTAGCCGGACATGGTGGCAAGCACTTGTAATCCCAGCTACTCGGGAAGCTGAGGCATGAGAATTGTTTGAGCCATGGAGGTAGAGGTTGCAGTGAGCTGAGATTACACCACTGCACTCCAGCCTGGGTGATGGAGCGAGACTCTGTCTCAAAAAAAAAAAAAAAAAAAAAAAAATCTAGAAAAAAAAACTACAGGTCAATATCACTGATGAACATTAATAAACAAAAATCCTCAACAACATACTAGCAAACCAAATTCAACAACACATTAAAAAGATCCTTCATTATAACCAAGCAGGACTTATCCCAGGGATGAAAGGACGGTTCAACATATGCAAGTCAATCAATGTGATACATCATATCAACAGAATGAAGAACAAAAACCATATAATCACTTCAATTGATCAATTGATTCTAAAAAAGTATTTGATAAAATTCAGCATCGCTTGATGATAAAAACCCTCAACTGGTTATAGAAGGAACATACCTCAACATAATAAAAGCCACATATGACAGACCCATAGTTAGTATCATACTTAATGGCAAAAAACCAAAAGCCTTTCCTCTATGACTGGAAACACGACAAAGATGCCCACTTTCACCACTGTTATTCAATACAGTACTGGAGGTCCTAGCTAGAACAATCAGACAAGAGAAAGAAACAAAAGATATTCAAATTGAAAAGGAATAAGTCAATCCATGTTTCCAGATGATATGATCTTATATTTGGAAAAACCTAAAGACTCCACCAAAATACTATTTGAACTGATAAACAAATTCAGTAAAGTTTCAGGATACAAAATCAACATACAAAAATCAGTAGCATGTCTACATGCCAACAGTGAATAATATGAAAAAGAAATTAAGAAGGTAATCCCGTTTACAATAGCTACAAATAAAATTAAATACCTAGGAAATAACTAAGAAGTGAAAGATCTCCAAAAAAAGGTATAAAGCATTGATGCAAGAAATTAAAAAGGACACAAAAAATGGAAAGATATTCTGTGTTTGTGGATTGGAAGAATCAATACTGTGAAAATATTCATTCTACCCAAAGCAATCTATAGATTTAATGCAATCCCTATCAAAATACCAGTGCCATTCTTCACAGGAATAGAAAAAAAAATCCTAAAATTAAGAAAAAAATTCTAAAAGTTATATGGAACCACAAAAGACCCATAATAGCAAAAGCTAAGTGAAAAGAGCAAAACTGGAGGAATCACATTACCTGACTTCAAATTATACTACAGAGCTATAGTACAGTATTGCTGGCATAAAAACAAACATATAGGCCAGTGGAGCAGAATAAAGAACCCAGAATTAAATCCATACATGTACAGTGAACTCATTTTTGACAAAGATACCAAGAGCATACATTGGAGAAAGGACAATCTCTTCAATAAATGGTGCTGAGTAACCTGGATATCCATATGCAGAAGAAAGAAACCAGATCTCTATCTCTCACCATATGCAAGAATCAAGTAAAAATGCATTAAAGACTTAAATCTAAGACCTCAAACTGAAACTACTCCAGGAAAACATTTTAGAAACTCTCCTGTAAATTGGATTGGGCAAAGATTTCTTGGGTAATACTCTATAAGCACAGGCAACCAAAGCAAAAATGGACAAATGGGATTACATCGAGTTGAAAAGCTTCTGCACAGCAAAGGAAACAATCAACAAAGTCAAGAGACAGCCCACAGGATGGGATAAAATATTTACAAACTACCCATCTGACAAGGGATTAATAATCAGAATATATAAGGAGCTCAAACAACTCTACAGGAAAAAAACTAAGAATCTGATTTTCAAATGGATGAATGATCTGAATAGGCATTTATCAAAAGAAGACATATAAATTGTAAACAGACATATGAAAAAATGCTCAACATCAGTGATCATCAGAGAAATACAAATCAAAACTACTATGAGATATCATCTTACCCCAGTTAAAATGGATTTTATCCAAATATAGGCAATAATGAATGCTGGCAAGGATGTGGAGAAAAGGGAACCCTTGAACACTGTCAGTGGGAATGCAAGTTAGTACAACCACTATGGAAAACAGTTTGGAGGTTCCCCAAAATACTAAAAGTAAAGCTACCATATCATCCAGCAATCTCACTTTTAGGTATAAACCCAAAAGAAGGGAAATTAGCATATCGAAGAGATATCTGCACTCGCATGTTTATTGCAGTTACTATTCACAATAGCCAAGATTTGAAAGCAACCTAAGTGTCCATCAATAGATTAATGGATAAAGAAAATGTGGTATTTATACACAATGGAGTACTATTCAGCCATAAAAAGAATGAGATCATGTCATTTGCAACAACATGGATAGAACTGGAGGTCATTATGTTAAGTGAAATAAGCCAGACACAGAAAGACAAACATCACATGTTCTTGCTTATTTATGGGAACTAAAAATCAAAACAATTGAGCTCATGGAGACAGAGAGTAGAAAGATAGTTACCAGAGGTTGGGAAGGGTAGTGGTGGGGTGGGGAGAAATAGGGATAAGTAATGAGTTCAAAAAAGTTAGAAAGAATGAATAAGACCTAGCTAGTATTTGCTAGCACAACAGGGTTACTACAGTCAAAAATTATTTAATCACACATTTAAAAATAATTAAAAGAGTATGATTGGATTGTTTGTAACACAAAGGATAAATGCTTGAGGAGATGGATATCCCATTTGCCCTGGCATGATTGTTACTTATTGTGTGCCTATTTCAAAATATCTTATGTACTCCATAAATACATACACCTACTATGTACCCACAAAAATTAAAAAACTTTTAAAACTCTAAAAAAAAAAAAACCACACAAGTATTCAGTCTTAGTACAACAAAAGACTTAAGTTAATAATTTTTACTTTGATTACATGTTGAAATTATATTTTTATATATTGGGCTAAATAAAATATATTTTAATTACTACAACAAAAGGCTTAAATTAATAATTTTTACTTTGATTACATGTTCAAATGATTTTTATATATTGGGCTAAATAAAAAAATATATTTTAATTAGCTTCTCCTATTTCCTTTTCCTTTCTTTAATGTGGCTAAGAGAAAATTGAATATCTTTGGCTTGAATTTGTAGCTTACCTCTTACTTCTGTTGGACAGATTACTACAGAGTGCCAGCTTTGCAAACTCAAGCCTGGGAACTTGAATGATAAACACTAAAATCACTTTCTGGCCTCTTGCTTGATTATTCCAGGAAACATCAAGAGTCAATGTTATAATAAATACTTTCTTTTGGCTACATTCTTTTTCTCTTTTTTTTTTAATTTTTATTTTTTGTTTGAGATGGAGTCTCGCTCTGTCACCCAGGCTGGAGTGCAGTGGCGGGATCTCGGCTCACTGCAAGCTCCGCCTCCCGGGTTCACACCATTCTCCTGCCTCAGCCTCCCGAGTAGCTGGGACTACAGGCGCCCGCCACAACACCCGGCTAATTTTTTGTATTTTTAGTAGAGACGGGCTTTCACCGTGTTAGCCAGAATGGTCTCGATTCCTGACCTCGTGATCTGCCCGCCTCGGCCTCCCAAAGTGCTGGGATTACAGACGTGAGCCACCGCGCCCGGCCCATTCTTTTTCTCTTGAGCTAATTGTTTAATGTCTCCGTGAGATGGTACTTTTTTTATGCCAAGAATTCCAATAGTGGAATTCCTGACAAAGCAAATGCCACAGGGGGTAGCCACAAAATGCCCTCGGTACATGAAATATCTTGCTCATTAATTTTGATGCCAGAGACAGTTTGATATCTCTCTGTTTAAAAATCTTGCACATTAAATCAGCAACATTGAAAAAATTGGCTTCTCTCAATCCTTACTCCCTTGCTACCTGCACATACTGTTCTCCCTTCTTGGGATTTCCATTTCATTTTCATCAATTTTAAATGTTTTCTCATCTGGTGATATTAACAAAGAGGCCTGAATTGTTGCTTATCTACTTTTGAGGTCTATTTATTTTATCCCTCATCACCCAGAGTGGGATTAGAGTTCATCCAGTAACTGTTAAGTCTTAGAGACAAAGCCTTCTAATTTTTTGCTTCAGTCCTGCTTCTCGGGAGACAATAGTCAAAATGAATGAATGAACCACCTAGGCCCCAGGAATATTATCTACATTGCTCAGCTGATTTCTCAAAATCAAAAGAAATCCAGAGGAACCGCTCTGATTTTCCACAAGTCAAGGTTTAGATGCCACCCACGGTCCATCCCTGATTTCCCATGCCAAGTCCAATGGCTAGACTTGTTTGTAGACGTGTTTGGCTAGACTTGGAGGCAGGGAGATCAGAGAGTGTGGTCCTGGGACAGACACTTCAGAATCACTTGGGATCTTATTAAAAATCCAGATCAGTAGGCCTCATCTTATACTTCCTGAGTCAGAAATCCTGAGAGGATTTCCGGAAAAAATGTCCAGTCTTAGCCTGGAAATCTGTACTTCAGTAAGCTTCCCATGTACATGCGCCCTAAAGCTTGAGAACCAGAGAGAAGTGTAAGCAACAATATGGAAGGGAAAATGCAGGGAGAAGACTAAGGAAAAAGCAGACAGAAAGGCAGGGATAAGCCTTTCCAGAGGGTGGTATTGATGTACATTTCCATACTATCATGTAACTTTTTCTTTCTCAAACATTTTTCTTTAGAATACATTGCACAACACTCATAAGCACATTGTCTCCCAATGTCTTCACCAATGACAGCTGAAGCATTGTGCCAACATTTATGAAAGATAAATAAGGGTAGGCTACATCTATAGTTCTCTTCTAGGTAGCCTTGTGAAATCCTTGACAAAAATGAATTGAGCCCAGATAGGATATTCTAAGGAAGAAAGCACAATAGAGCTTACTGATAAAGACAGCCTGTTCTACCCACTCCAAAGCCAGGCTGATTATAGTAATTGTGGACCCCTTCATAGTGTCTGCAAAGCTCCCCAAGGTCCTCTGAATTCCTCAGCCCACCAGCTCCACAAGCCATATTTATACAACATGACCCTGCCCTTAAGTCACAGTTGTCTGGCCCTTTCTTTGGGGAACATGGAAGTGAGGCTGAGAGATTCTTGTTCAGTCTAGGCTAGTCTCCTAAATGGGGTAGATACAAATTCAAAAGCTGTAACATGGCTGTATTCTGGCATCCCTGTGATCTAAGAAAAAGAGAAAGCTGGTGCTCAGGGTTAATAAAAAATAAGAGACGGCCGGGTGCGGTGGCTCATGCCTGTAATCCCAGCACTTTGGGAGGCCAAGGTGGGCGGATCACGAGGTGAAGAGATTGAGACTATCCTGGCCAACATGGTGAAACCCCATCTCTACTAAAAATACAAAAATTAGCTGGGCATGCTGGCACGCACCTCTAGTCCCAGCTACTCAGGAGGCTGAGGCAGGAGAATCGTTTGAACCTGGGAGGCAGAAGTTGCAGTGAGCCGAGATCACGCTACTGCACTCCAGCCTGGCGACAGAGCAAGACTGTCTCAAAAAAAAAAAAAAAAAAAAAAATGAACAAGAGCAGTGTATTAGTCCATTTTCATGCTGCTGATAAAGACATACCCAAGACTGGGAAGAAAAACAGGTTTAATTGGACTTACAGTTCCACATGGCTGGGGAGGTCTCAGAATCATGGCAGGAGGTGAAAGGGACTTCTTACAATGCAGCAGCAAGAGAAAATGAGGAAGAAGCAAAAGCAGAAACCCCCAGTAAACCCATCAGACTTCGTGAGACTTATTCACTATCACTAGAATAGCATGGGAAAGACCAGCCCCCATAGGTCCACTACCTCTCCCTGGGTCCCTCCCAAAACATGTGGGAATTATGGGAGATACAATTCAAGTTAAGATTTGAATGGGGACACAGTCAAACCATATCATTCTGCCCTTGGCCCCTCCAAATCTCATGTACTCACATTTCAAAACCAATCATGCCTTCCCAACAGTCCCCCAAAGTCTTAACTCATTTCAGCATTAACCCAAAAGTCCACAGTCCAAAGTCTCATCTGAGACAAGTCCCTTCTGCCTATGAGCCTGTAAAATCAAAAGCAAGCTAGTTACTTCCTAGATACAATGGGGGTACAGGTAGGTATTGGGTAAATACAGCCATTACAAATGGGAGAAATTGGCCAAAACAAAGGGGTTACAGGGCCCATGCAAGTCCGAAATCCAGCAAGGCAGTCAAATTTTACAGCTCTAAAATGATCTCCTTTGACTCCAGTTCTCACATCCAGTTTACACTGATTCAAGAGGTGGGTTCCCATGGTCTTGGGCAGCTCCACCCCTGTGGCTTTGTAGGGTAAACCTCCCTCCTGGCGGCTTTCATGGGCGGGTGTTGAGTGTCTGTGTCTTTTCTAGGTTCACAGTGCAAACTGTCGGTGGATCTACCATTCTGGGGCCTGGAGGACAGTGGCCCTGTTCTCACAGCTCCCAGTAGGCAGTGCCCCAGTAGGGACTCTGTATGGGGGCTCCAACCCCACATTTTCCTTCCACACTACCCTAGCAGAGGTTCTCCATGAGGGCCCTGCCCCTGCAGCAAATTTTTGCCTGGGCATCCAAGCGTTTCCATACATCTTCTGAAATCTAGGCAGAGGTTCCCAAACCTCAGTTCTTGACTTCTGTGTACCCACAGGCTCAACACCATGTGGAAGCTGCCAAGGCTTGGGGCTTCCACCCTCTGAAGCCACAGCCTAAGCTATACATTGGCCCCTTTTGGCAATAGCTGGAGCAGCTAGGACACAGGGCACCACATCTCCAGGCTGCACACAGCATGGGGACCCTGGGCCCAGTCCACAAAACCACTTTTTCATCCTAGGCCTCCGAAAATGTGATGGGAGGGGCTGCCATGAAGGTCTCTGACATGGTCTGGAGACATTTTCCCCATGGACTAACATTAGGCTCCTGGCTATTTGTGCAAATTTCTGCAGCTGGCTTGAATTTCTTCCCAGAAAATGGGTTTTTCTTTTCTATTGCATATTCAGGCTGCAAATTTTCCAAACATATATGCTCTGCTTCCCTTATAAAACTGAATGCCTTCAATAGCACCCAAGTTACCTCTTGAATATTTTGCTGCTTAGAAATTTATTCCACCAGAAACCCTCAATCATCCCTCTCAAGCTGAAAGTTCCATAATTGTCTAGGGCAGGGGCAAAATGCCACCAGTCTCTTTGCTAAAACATAACAAAAGTCACCTTTGCTCCAGTTCCCAATGGAGAAATTGGGAGAATATTGCTATCAGCATTTTGGGCAAAGCTATTCAACAAGTCTCTAAGAAGTTCCAAACTTTTCCACATTTTCCTATCTTCCTCTGAGCCCTTCAAACTGTTCCAATTTCTGCCTGTTAACCAGTTCCAAAGTTGCTTCCACATTTTCAGGTATCTTTTTAGCAACACCCCACTCCTGGTACCAACTTACTGTATTAGTCTGTTTTCATGCTACTGATGAAGACATACCCAAGACCGGGGAGAAAAAGAGGTTTAATTGGACTTACACTTCCACATGGCTGGGGAGGCCTCAGAATCGTGGTGAGAGGTGAAGGGCACTTCTTACATGGTGACAGCAAGAGAAAATGAGAAAGAAGCAGAAGCAGAAACTCCAAAAGCCATCAGATCTTATGAGACTTATTCACTGTCATGAGAATAGCATGGGAAAGACTGGCCCTCATGATTCCATTACCTCCCCCTGGGTCCCTCCCACAACACGTGGGAATTCTGGGAGATACAATTCAAGTTGAGATTTGGGTGGGGACACAACCAAACCATATCAAAGGTCAAACTTTTGTTCTATTCAGACTTTCAATTGATTGGATGAGGGCCACTTACATTAGGAAGAGCAATCTGCTTTACTCAGTATACCCATTCAAATGGTAATCTCTTCCAGAAACGCCCTCACAGACAAACCCAGAATCATGTCTAACCAAATATCTGGGCACCCTGTTGCCTAGGCAAGTTGACACATAAAATTAACCATCATGGGGACTCTCTCAACCTGTTGCAAACATACCTCATTTGGCCTGTACTGCAATTCCAGCTACAGGCCTCAGGATTTAGCTTTGGTACATCACCCTCATCAACACCTGCCCAATGGGTACTGGTTTTGTAGAGATACAGTGCAAAAATTAAACAAGAGATTCCAAACATCTCTTATGTAAATCACACTTCAGTAAAGAAAAATAAGCAAAAGGAGTGAAATGAGGGCAATGCTTCTGCCATATGACCTGCAGTGAGATCTTGCCTCTCGACAACTGTCAGAACATCCTTAATGCATAGACAGATGCCCAACTGGAAAGTCAGAAGCCTCAAGCTGAGGAAGCAGTATGTTTGAAGTAACAGAGGTCTCCAAGACCATCCCAGGTTTGGTCAGAAGATTTAGTACTCAAAGTCATGATATATTATGCTGAAAATATACAAATCAAAATCAGCAAAGGAAAAAGGCACATGGGCAAAGTCCAGAAGAAACCAGGAACATGCTTCCAAGAGTCCTCTCCCAGTGGAGCCACATCTCCTCTATGCTTAATTCCTCCAGTATCAAATTGTGATAATATATGTCAAAGGCTCTCTACTAGGGAAGCTCACTAGAGACTCATCACCCAGGGTTCTTATTAGGAGCTGCTCATGTAGGTACCCTCTACTTGGCACAGACCAAAATTCCAGGCTCCCAGAGGGAAAGCAAGTGTGCAGCATAAACCACATTGTTTGCATAAACAATTTAGGCACAGGGAAGGAATCAGTAAATGATGAGAACTACACTTATGCCCCTTCCTTTGCATTTTAGCTAAAGGGACATTCCCTTTAAACAAGTTCCCAGACACCAGACAAGAGTTAACCTTGCAAGCAAGCTATTCTAAGAATAGTAGTCTCAAGCCTACTATATGATTTTTTTAACACAAGCAGGAAAGAACACGTGCACACAGACACAGGATTTGGGATGAGTGTGAGAATGGAGGAAAAGCAACTGTTACAGAGAGGGAGGTGGGAAAAGTGAAATTCAGTAACAAAAAGTTGTGAAATGTAGAGTTCCCTGACCCCCTCATGGGACTTGCAACAGGGGTGCTGCTCATTTGCTCAATGGTTGTAGGCTCAAACCACTTATGGGAGAGGGGCGGGTGCAGGAGCCAGGGTGAGCACTTTTGGGCTCCAGCCACATGGTAGCATCCAGGGGTGTGTTACAATTAATGCTCTTTTAGAAATTGTCATCCTTAGATGGCTAAGTGTTACACCAGCTCAGTGGAGAGTCAGGGTAACACCCTTTTACACACTGCCCTATTGGTACCAAGGTCCTTGTCCAGCACCCAGGAAAAATCAGGTCGCACAAATGAAGGATGGTGAATGTGGGTATTTTATTGAGTGATGGGGTGGCTCCCAGTGGGATGGATGGGGAGCTGGAAAGGGGATGGAGTGGGAAAATGATCTTCCCCTGGAGTTGGTCATCCCATGGCCAGTCTCCTCTCCAACCATCCCCAGCCAAACTCCTCTTGATGTTCAGACACTCCTTCTCTTCTCTTCTCTGCTGTGCTGCTCTGCAGTGGAGTTTGGGGTTTATATAGGCACAGGATAGGGTCATGGTGGGCCACAGTGGTCTTGGAAAAGACAACATTTGGGCACATAAACAGGAATGCCTGTTCCCATTTAGGGCCAGGGGTTTCCAGTCTTGAGAGTGGGGCCTTTGCCAGGGAACTCCTCTCTTCTACCCAGCATTTCCTTGCCTCCTGTCTATATCAGTTGGGCCAAGAACTGGACTTTTTTTCTGCCACTTTCTCCTGCAGGTCTCACTGCAGGAACTTGGAGATGTATTGTCCCTAGTTCAGAAGTCTGTGGAGGGTGAGAGTGGGAGCACTTACTTCAATGATCACACAAGGAAGGCAATAGAATTTACCAACTCTCTTAAGAATTTGGGTACTCAGCCAGAACACATGGACAGAGATCATAAGGTCATCACTGAGTACCGCAATATATCCAGAAGTCCTATTTACAACAGTGATCAGCAGAAATGTGAAATTCTGAATGCTCACATGAACTGTCTGCAGTCGGTGGAGCAGAACTGAGCCTCCTGCACAAGTAAAAGAGGTAGACAAAGGTTGCAGGGCTGTAGCAAGGAAAGGAACACAACTAATGAACACTTGCAATTGAATGAACGTATCTTCAAGATGTTGCTATTTAATTATTCATTGCACACAAGTTCTAAAGATGCTAAATAAAGTAGAATTTGCTGTTACTAGAGTTTCTTCAGTCGCAATAGAATATTCTCTTTTTGTTACTCAGAAAATAAAAATTAACAACTCATCTGTGATTCAAGAAACATTTGCAGAAATATTTTTGCTTTTTTTGGTCATGAGGTTAGAACCACAAATATGTATCATATGTTAAAAGAAAGCCAACCTTAAATCAACAGATACAATGGCACTGTAAAGCAGAGATCTTACAGGAGAAAAGATTCCTGGTGGCAAACAATTGCTCTTGCCTTAGGATTAGAGTTGTGTGTATTTAAAAGGCAATTGTTTTTATTTTTAAAGTGGTTGCCTAAAAATTCTTGGCATCATCTGAGAAAACCTCAAGGACAAAGGCAGAATCTAAATGCAAAAATGCTTTGGATGGCCTTACCAACTCTCCATCACAGACTGAGAGCTGTGCTACACTTATGCCCCTTCCATTGCATTTTAGCTAAAGGGACATTCCCTTTAAACATGTAAATATCTCTTATAACCATAAAAATTCTTCAGATACCAACCCCAGGGGAAGGCTGAAAAGCAAGATGAGCCCATCTGTTAGCTTAATAGGAAAGGCTCAGAGCCTGGGGAGGACATAAACAATGTCTTCCAAGAAGCATCTTTCTCCCTCTCTCTGATTCTATTATACTGATAGTCATTTACATAATAGTAACTTACTTTTTAACAGACTGAAAAGTTCAATGTCTGAAGTCAAGGGGACCCACCATCTTTGTTGGATTAGACAGGATCTAGGAAATTGCAAAGAAAATGTGAAATTTCTGCCCAAGTCTATGGATGATAAAGGAGTCTGTCCACAGATGTAATCATCCAATACATAGTGCTATGTCCCACACTCATGGGAAAGATACTCTAAAAGCTTTCAACATTGCAAGCATCTTGAGTCTTCCTCCCTCTTCCTTATCACTAACAAGCGGTAGAAATACTTGTATTTGATTTGTACTTTTGGGGGAAAATCTTTTTATATTAAAATGCACTTGATGATTCTATCTTTCATAAATCTAAGTGTAAAAACACAAAACACGGAGGAAGAAAACTAGATTGTGCTCCTGCTGAAAAGCAGTGGGTGGGTGCAGAGACACTGATCGAGCTCTCTCCATCCTGCAGCTAGGCTGGGGGATGACAGTTTTTCCCATCACCCTCTTGGTTCCCAAACTGTATTAGACATCTTCCTGTCTGTAGTTTCTCCCCCGCACCAGATTTCTGAGTTGCTTTAGAGACAAAAGGGAACAAGCCTGGTATACTCTCACATATTAGAATGATGATGGCCAGAAATCTATTAGATTTCTTGTGAAAAAAGTTACAGGGTCAGATTTAAGATACAATATGGGGTGATGAAGTGGTTATCTAATTGGGCCATACCCCATGATTCTGTGGAAAATTCCAAAGTGGGTGAAAGGAAAACCAAGGGTAGACCTGGCGACTACCCCTACTTTGGTCAGAGCTGCTCCTTCCTTATTTATCTGCATGTATGTGCTCACATGTGTATACCCATGTGTCTATGCATAGGAATGTGCATATATGTATTTCTCATATGATTGATCTGAAAAAAAGGATTGTGTTACCTAGAAAAACAATTTAACAGTTTATGAACTATTGCTGGAGATGACGAAGTAGTGAACTAAGAATCAAATAATTAATTTCCTATGTGGCCTCAGGCAAGTAACTTCACCCCTCTAAACCCTTTTAACCTGATCAGCTAAATAAAAGGGGTAGCCTTTCTGTTGTCCAAAGTCCCTCCAGCTCTGGAAGTTTTGATGCTTTGATGGAGACGGGAGTATCTCGAGGGAAGGAGTCAAACTATCACAAGTGTGCAGAACTCTCCTTGGAAATCAGAGAGGCCATCAACACCTTTGGAAAGGGTGAAATGCCTTTTCCTGTGTTAAAGCAAATGCAATACTTGGCAAAATGCCACTCCAAGCCATGTCTCAGTCCCCAGATACTTTCTGAGATAGATAGCTTCTGGGCCATAGAAAACAGAAGTCCAAATCTTGCATTGAAAATAATCGCTTTTTCCCCCTAGAAACTCTTCACTTTGCTTCTGTTGTAAACCAAAAATAAACTTCTAAGGCCCCACAACCATCTGAATGGACTTCCTCTTTGGCCAGGGCACTCTTAAAATTTAACCTGAGAGACTGGTTCAGGCCATGACAGGAAGTATGGGTCAGACAGACTTCATTATACCTCTCCTACATTAAAATCAACACAGACCTTAAGTCTGATAAGAAGCATTTACCATCTATTCTCTCTAAAGCCTGCTACCTGGAGGCTTCATCTGCATGATAAAACTTTGGTTTCTACAATCTCTTATCACAACCCAGACAATTCCTTTCTATTGAACCCAGGTCTTTAAACTCAACCAATTGTCAACCAGAAAATCTTAAATCTACCTATAACCTGAAAGTCCCCCTACCTCTGAGTTGTCCTGCCTTTCTGGACTGAACCAATGTACATCTTAAGTGTATTTGACTGAAATCTCCTGTCTCCCTAAAATGCAACCAAGCTACACCCCAACCACCTTGGTCACAGGACCTCCTGAGGGTGGTGTCATGAGCCATGCTCACTCATATCTGGCTCAGAATAAATCTCTTCAAAGATTTCATAGAGTTTTACTCTTTTCATTGACAGTGTATACCTCCCCCCACCCACATGCACATGCACACACACTTTATTGTCCACAGCACTAGAACACTACTATAAGCAAGGAAATTCAGCATCTCCCTGAACACATAGAGGAACTATGGGCTCAGATTTGGGATTGATTGGCAGCCAACTCCCTGGAAAAGGTCAACCTATCAGGAATTCGTGAATGGGGCTGTCAGATACAGTAAGTTCCTCTTCAAAGGTTTAATTTCTGACTCCCTTGTTCTTTGTTTTGAGATTAACTTCCTTGTCCCTTCTCCTAAGCTACCTGCTCTGTAAACAACTTCTCCCACCAGTCGCAATCTGTAACTCACATCTCTTCCTTATTTGGAAAGAGTCCTCTTTTACTCCTAGCTACCCATTCTGTAAACTGCCCCTCCCACCAAAAGAGATTTTCCCACCGAAACCACCCTTCCCACATTTGCCACACCCTGACATGCCCAAACATGCCTTGTACTGTAAAGGACAGCCTCTCCCTTCTCGCCTAATTAGCCATACTCAATTTTAAACAGTAGCCAATCAGGTCAGTTTAGATTGTGCAGTCCAACTCCAGCCAATGGGGACAGGACACAGAAGCAGGGACTAACTGCATTAGGCATAAAAACCCCTTCCCTCCTTTGTTTGGTGTGCCCTCACAGCGGCCAGAAGTGCGAGTGGCACCCTTCTGCAGAAGTAAATTTGCCTTGCTGAGAAATCCTTTGTTTGAGTGCTCCTTTTTCTTGTGACTCTGAGCTCTTGTTTCCAACAAGGCAAAAAAAAAAAGTATCTTCAGGCCATCCAGTTACACTTTCTGGAACCTCTTTGTCTTAAACTCTTCAAGCACCAGGTATCAATTTGGCAGCTGTATGAGATGCTATGCTAGAAGCCAAGGGTACAGAGGTGAGCAAAGCAGAGTCTCCAGTTCAAGAAGGCCTTGGCCTGTGGGTAGGCAAAAAATACCCACTATAATGTAAAATGCTGAGGACTCTCAGAGCTGAAGCAGGAATGTCTTGGGCATTATTCTTTACTTAGTGCCTAGCAAAACTTCAGTAACATAGCACATGCTCAATATAGATTTGTAAAATGAATAAACTTATGGAAATGTAGGAGGAAAAGCAGTTAGTTTTGACTGGTTTGTGGGTGGGGGAGAAAGCAATTGAAACTGTACCATTTGTTCATAGGGAGACTCTGATAAGCTGTGAAATGCCTGATGACACTTGTTACTCTTCTTTCTAGGAATTTGTTCATCTTACCAGGATACAGAAAACTTCCAGTCAAGGGAATAAATCTCTGATGTTAAAATACTAGACATAACCAAGTGAGGTTTCTGAGGGTTGGTTTGTTTAGGCTTTAGGTAGAAATGGGTACATGGAAATGTTCAGTCTCAGTTCTGATTATTACTGCCTTTTTTGCATTACCACCACTCCTGCCTTCCAGCAATATGCACCAAGGCAACAAGTGATTTATAATTTAATGCTCCAAGCACATTAGTTTAATTGAGGGGTGCCAAAACACTAGAACCTCAAAAAGTATGATTAACATATTTCAATTTATTCAAACCTTCCTCTCCACTTATAATTAATGGGGCTGGGGATACAGTTACCAGATAAAATACTGGATACCAGTTAAATTGAAATTCCAGATAAACAATAAATAATTTTTTAGTGTAAGTGTGTCCTCAACATTGCATGGAAAATACATAACCCTAGACACACGTAAAATGTGGCAGCCCTAGCTGGAGGGAGAAGAATTAAGGTAAACAGAGCAAAGAGGTATGTCCTTAATAAAAATTGCCACTACAAAAGCCAAAATAGACAAATGGGATCTAATTAAACTAAAGAGCTTCTGCACAGCAAAAGAAACTACCTTTGGAATGAACAGGCAACCTACAGAATGGGAGAACATTTTTGCAATCTACCCATCTGACAAAGGGCTAATATCAAGAATCTACAAAGAACTTAAACAAATTTATAAGGAAAAAAAAAACAACCCCATCAAAAAGTGGGCAAAGAACTTCTCAAAAGAAGACATTTATGCAGCCAACAGACATATGAAAAAATGCTCATCATCACTGGTCATCAGAGAAATGCAAATCAAAACCACAGTGAAATACCATCTCACACCAGTTAAAATTGTGATCATTAAAAAGTCAGGAAACAACAGATGCTGGAGAGGATGTGGAGAAATAGGAATGCTTTTACACTGTTGGTGGGAGTGTAAACTAGTTCAACCATTGTGGAACACAGTGTGGCAATTCCTCAAGGATCTACATCTAGAAATACCATTTGACCTAGTGATCCCATTACTGGGTATATACCCAAAGGATTATAAATCATGCTACTGTAAAGACACATGCATACATATGTTTATTGCGGCACTATTCACAATAGCAAAAACTTGGAACCAACCAAAATGTCCATCAATGATAGACTGGATTAAGAAAATGTGGCACATATACACCATGGAATACTATGCAGCCATAAAAAATGATGAGTTCATGTCCTTTGCAGGGACATGGATGAAGCTGGAAACCATCATTCTGAGCAAACTATCACAAGGACAGAAAACCAAACACCACACGTTCTCACCCATAGGTGGGAACTGAATAATGAGAACACTTGTACACAGGGCGGGGAACATCACACACGGGAGCCTATCATAGGGTGGGGCACAGGGGTTGGGATAGCATTAGGAGGAATACCTAATGTAAATGACAAGTTAATGGGTGCAGCAAACCAACATGGCACATGTATATCTATGTAACAAACCTGAATGTTGTGCACATGTACCCTAGAACTTAAAGCATAATTTAAAAATAAATAAATGAAATAAAATAAAGAAAAAATAAAAATAAAATAAAAATTGCCACGATATCCAAAGTTCAGGTGTTAGAGTCAGTTTCAAAGTTTCCCATATAGTCCTATTTCCTTGGAATTCCATTAGTCCTGCAAACATTTGCTCTCTTCTAGGTATTCTTATAAAATCGTTGACCAAAATGAATTGAACCCAGATAGGATATTCTAAGGAAGAAAGTGCAATAGAGCTTACCTGATAAAGACAGCCTGTTCCACCCACCCCAAAGTCAGGCTAATGATAGGTGTCTGCAAAGCTACCCAAGGTCCTCTGAATTCCTCAGCCCACTAGCTCCACAAGCCACACTTATACAACATGACCCTGTCTGCCCCTAAGTCACAGTTGCCTGGACCTTTCTTTGGAGAATGTGGAAATGAGGCTGAGAGATTCTTGTTCAGTCTAGGCTAGTCTCTTCAATGGGGTAGATACAAATTCAAGAGCTGTAACATGGCTGTATTCTGGAATCCCTGTGATCTAAGAGGAGAAAAGTGGTGTTTAAGGTTAATAAAAAATAATAGACAAGAACAGTGTATTAGTCCGTTTTCATGCTGCTGATAAAGACATACCCAAGACTGGGAAGAAAAAGAGGTTTAATTGGACTTACAGTTCCACACGGCTCGGGAGGCCTCAGAATCATGGCAGGTGAAAGACACTGCTTACATCATGGCAACAAAAGAAAATGAGAAAGAAGCAAAAGCAGAAACCCCTGATAAACCCATCAGATCTCATGAGACTTATTCGCTATCACGAGAATAGCATGGGAAAGACAAGCCCTCATGATTCCATTACCTCCCCCGGGTCCCTCCCACAACACATGGGAATTCTGGGAGACATAATTCAAGTTGAGATTTGAATAGGGACACAGCCAAACTATATCATTCTGCCCCTGGCCCCTCCAAATTTCATGTCCTTATATTTCAAAACCAATCATGCCTTCCCAACAGGTCCCCAAAGTCTTAACTCATTTCAGCATTAACCCCAAAGTCCATGGTCCAAAGTCTCATCTGACACAAGGCAAGTCCTTTCTGCCTATGGGCCTGTAAATCAACAGCAGCTAATTACTTCCTAAATACCATGAGGGTACAGGTATTGGGTAAATACAGCCATTCCAAATGGAAGAAATTGGCCAAAACAAAGGGGCTACAGGGCCCATGCAAGTCTGAAATCCAGCAGGGCAGTCAAATTTTAAAGCTCCAAAGTGATCTTCTTTGACTCATATCCTGGGCAGCTCCGCCCCCGTGGCTGTGCAGAGTACCTCCCTCCTGGCTGTTTTCATGGGCTAGCATTGAGTATCTGTGGCTTATTCAGGGGTACAGTGCAAGTGTTGGTGGATCTGCCATTCTGGGGCTTGAGGATGGTGGCCCTCTTCTCACAGCTCCACTTAGGCAGTGCCCCAGTAGGGACTCTGTGTGGGGGCTCCAACCTCACGTTTTCCTTCCACACTCCCCTAGCAGAGGGTCTCCATGAGGGCTCCACCCCTGCAGCAAACTTTTGCCTGGGCATCCAGGCATTTCCATACATCTTCTGAAATCTAGGCAGAGGTTCTCAAACCTCAATTCTTGACTTCTGTGCACTTGCAGGCTCTACACCACTGCTGCCAAGGTTTGGGGCTCACCACCCTCTGAAGCCACAGCCTAAGCTGTTTGTTGGCCCCTTTCTGCCATGGCTGGAGCGGCTGAGACACAGGACACCAAATTCCTAGGCTGCACACAGCACAGGGACCCTGGGCCTGGCCCACGAAACCACTTTTTCCTCCTGTGCCTCTATGCCTATAATGGTAGGGACTTTTGTGAAGGTCTCTGACGTGGCCTGGAGACATTTTCCCCGTGGTCTTGGGGATTAACATTAGGCTCCTTGCTACTTTTGCAAATTTCTGCAGCAGCTTGAATTTCTTCTCAAAAAATGGGTTTTTCTTTTCTACTGCATCATCAGGCTGCAAATTTTCCAAACTTTATGCTCTGTTTTCCTTTTAAACTGAATGCCTTTAACAGTACCTAAGTCACCTCTTGAATGCTTTTCTGGTTAGAAATTTCTTTCACCAGATACCCTGAATAATCTCCCTCAAGTTCAAAGTTCCACAGATGTCTAGGGCAGGGGCAAAATGCCACCAGCCTCTTTGCTAAACCATAACAAAAGAGTCACCTTTGGTGCAATTCCCAACAAGTTCCTCATGTCCCTCTGAGACCACCTCATCCTGGACCTTATTGTTCATATCATTATCATCATTTTTGTCAAAGCCATTCAACAAATCTCTAAGAGGTTCCAAACTTTCCCACATTTTCCTGTCTTCTTCTGAGCCCTCCAAACTGTTCCAACCACTGCCTGTTACCCAGTTCCAAAGTTGCTTCCACATTTTTGGGTATCTTTTCAGCAATGCCCCACTCCACTGGTACCAATTTACTGTATTAGTCTGTTTTCTTGCTGCAGATAAAGACATATCCAAGACTGGGAAGAAAAAGAGGTTTAATTGGACTTACAATTCCACATGGCTGGGGAGGCCTCAGAATCATGGCAGGAGGTGAAAGGCACTTCTTACATCTCAGCAGCAAGAGAAAATGAGGAAGAAGCAAAAGCAGAAACCCCTGATAAACCCATCAGATCTCATAAGACTCATTCACTTTCATGAGAATAGCATGGGAAAGATCAGCCCCCATGATTCCATTACCTAGGTCCGTCCCACAACAAGTGGGAATTCTGGGAGATACAATTCAAGTTGAGTTTTGAATGGGGACACAGACAAACCACATCAAACAGATATTCAGAAAGGGACAAAAGTAAGGAGAATGAAAAATCTCATCATCTTCATTTTAGCCCCTTCCGAGAGTCCAGCTGCATTTCTGCCTGCAGTCTCCATCAAAACAAGCTATATCCTTAATAATTTCCCCCCTTTTACTTGATCCAATTCAAGTCAGTTTCTATAATATCAGCTAGTACTGCAAATACTTTATTTTTTTAACCTGCCTCTTTTCACAAGGAATTTCAGACACCCATGAATAAAACATGGATAGCCAGATGGATAGAAGACAGATTGACTTCTTCCTGAGAGTGCAGTCACTGATGGGCAAAGCAGCAAAATCACCCATCCTGTTCTACTAATCCATCAATTTATTCTGCAAGATGTCCGCTGAGCACTTGCTTTGTTTCAGGATCTTTTTGGGGTGCTGGGATGCAGTAGTCAGTAAGGTGACCAAAGGTCTGCCTTCCCAGATCTATGTGTACAAACACACACACACACACACACACACACACACACACACATGCACACACAATGCGGCAGTAATCCAGAACCACAAGATATAGGAAAAAATAGGAAAGAAAATTCAAATCCAAGATATGTTTCAACAGAAGACATTGAAAGAATTGTTGCCCCATTAAATATATGCAATGAAGAAAATATTATATTTATGTCTATTGCCCAGGAGAATGAAGGTGACACTTAACAAAAAGAAAAACTAAAAGTCAGGAAAAACTTAAACTAATCTTCTGCTGGGTTCTGTTTACAGTATGATTGTTTTACCATTTTTTCCAAATTATCAGCCTTCCTCATTCTTTCAACTAATCTATGTTCTCCCTATATTTCAAAAAGGTAATTCAAAAACTATCATCTGTTCCTATTCGGCCATCTTGGCCGAATCTCTAATCATAAAATCTCTAATCATAAAATCTAATCATAATCTCTAATCATAAAATCAAAGTAAATATTAATAGAGATAAAAACTGATAGAATTGACTATTTAAAAAGAAAAACAGGCCAGGTGAGGCGGCTCACATCTGTAATCCCTACACTTTCGGGTCACTTGAGGTCAGGAGATTGAGATCAGCCTGGCCAACATGGTGAAACCCCATCTCTACTAAAAATACAAAAATTAGCTGGCCGTGGTGGCAGGCACCTGTAATTCCAGCTACTCAGGGGGCTGAGGCAGGAGAATCACTTGAACTGGGGAGGTAGAGGTTGCACTGAGCCGAGATCATGCCACTGCACTCCAGCCTGGATGATAGAGCAACACTCTGTCTCAAAAAAAAAAGGAGAGAAAATAAAAATATATGGAGGTCATATAAAAAGATAAATATTGCTCTTTACAAAGCTGCTGTATAGGGGGTGGAGCCAAGATGGCCGAATAGGAACAGCTCCAGTCTACAGCACCCAGCATGAGCGACGCAGAAGACGGGTGATTTTTGCATTTCCAACTGAGGTACCAGGTTCATCTCACGGGGGAGTGCCGGACAGTGGGTGCAAGACAGTGGGTGCGGTGCACCGTGTGTGAGCTGAAGCAGGGCTAGGCATTGCCTCACCCAGGAAGTGCAAGGGGTCAGGGAACTCCCTTTCCTAGTCAAAGAAAGGGGTGACAGACGGCACCTGGAAAACCGGGTCACTCCCACCCTAATACTGTGCTTTTCCAATGGGCTTATCAAACAGCACACCAGGAGATTAAATCCCGCACATGGCTCAGAGGGTCCTACGCCCACGGAGCCTCACTCATTGCTAGCACAGCAGTCTACGATCAAACTGCAAGGTGGCCATATCAGGGATTCCTCAGGGATCTAGAACTAGAAATATCATTTGACCCAGCCATCCCAATACTGGGTATATACCCAAAGGATTATAAATCATGCTGCTATAAAGACACATGCACACGTATGTTTATTGTGGCACTATTCACAATAGCAAAGACTTGGAACCAACCGAAATGTCCAACAATGATAGAATGGATTAAGAAAATGTGGCACATATACACCATGGAATACTATGCAGCCATAAAAAATGATGAGTTCATGTCCTTTGTAGGGACATGGATGAAGCTGGAAACCATCATTCTCAGCAAACTATCGCAAGGATGAAAAACCAAACACCGCATGTTCTCACTCATAGGTGGGAATTGAACAATGAGAACACACGGACACAGGAAGGGGAACATCACACACCGGGCCTATTGTGGGGTGGGGGGAGGCGGGAAGGATAGCATTAGGAGATATACCTAATGTTAAATGACGAGTTAATGGGTGCAGCACACCAACATGGCACATGTATACATATGTAACAAACCTGCACGTTGTGCATATGTACCCTAAAACTTAAAGTATAATAATAATTTAAAAAGCTGCTGTATAATTAAGATGATATATAGAAAATCCATCTATAACTTGAACTCTGCTATACAAAGTTTAGTCACTACTGCTATATTTGAAAATAAAAACATACAAAAAAAAAGATAAATATCTCAGTATAAACATCCCCAAGGGAAAATTGGATCATATAGGGACAAGGAAATACAAAATAGGTACAGGTAATTGGTAAGTTAAAAGCCTATCAATCTCTCCAATAATGAAATAAATGTAAATCAAAATATAAAACTTATTTTTCACTTATCACATTGACAAATTTGCAAAAAAAAAAAAAAAGAACATATATAATGCAGGTAAAAAAAAAACTGTGGTGGACAGAAGTGAGGATTCTTCGCACTTCACAGAGAGCAGTTTGGTGATACATGCCAAAACATTAAATGTGTTCACTCCATGGCCCAGCATTTCTACTTCTCAGAAGTTTTCTTTAGGAAATAGAAAGACAATGGAATATAGTTACAACAACAATATATTCACTGTAGATACGTTTACAATAGAAAAAATGGAAACATTTCAACACATCAGTTAATACGTGAATTGATAAACTAGGTATATCTACCTATACGATGAAATACTAGCCACATAGTAAAGATGATAATATAGGTTTATATAACATTCATTGGTATGGAAAAGATGTTCACAATCTACTACATGAAACAAAGCAGTTACAAAATAGTTTGAAAATAGGGGCCCCATTTTTCTCTTTTTTTTTTTTTTTTTTTTTTTTTGAGACGGAGTCTCGCTCTTTCGCCCAGGCTGGACTGCAGTGGCGCTGTCTTGGCTCACTGCAAGCTCCGCCTCCCGGGTTCACGCCATTCTCCTGCCTCAGCCTCCCGAGTAGCTGGGACTACAGGCGCCCGCTACCATGCCCGGCTAATTTTTTTTGTATTTTTAGTAGAGACGGGGTTTCACCGTGTTAGCCAGGATGGTCTCGATCTCCTGACCTCGTTATCCGCCCGCCTCAGCCTCCCAAAGTGCTGGGATTACAGGCGTGAGCCACCGCGCCCGGCCCCATTTTTCTCTTTTTTGACATATGTCCCTATTTACATGCATGTATTTGAAGAAAATTCACCACCTGGCCAGGCATGGTGGCTCACACCTGTAATTCCAACACTTTGGGAGGCCAAGGCAGGAGGATGGCTTGCACTCAGGAGTTCGAGACCAGCCTGGGAAACATAGTGAGACCCCAGCTCTTGGAAAAAAAAAAAAAAGAAAGAAAAGAATATTCACCACCATATCAACAAGGGTTATGGGTGATTGGATAATGGCTGATACTGACTTTCTCTTTTAAAATGCAACTTCATTTTCTGATTTTTCCAAAGAGAAATCTTACAATCAGAAAAATATAGCTATTAAAAATACTATTATAAAAGGATTTCATTCAATAATAAGAAAATTTCATAATTGTAATATAAATAATTGGCCAAAATATATTAGCAATTCATTAAAGAAGTTTAAATCACATACAAACATGGAAAAATATTCAACTTTACAAGAGATGAAAACTAAAATATGCCTTTAATTTTAGTGAATATTTTTTAAAATTTAAAATACACAGTGCAGGTAAGGAGTAGTTAAACAAGCATGATCAAACATTGTTCATAGACATATAAAATGGTACCACCCTTTTGGAAAGCAATTTTTCAATATTTTTAGAAATATTTAATTCCTTAATTTATTCATACGCTTTGATGCAATATTTCTACTTTATAGTATTTCAAAACAAATAAAATTAAATGCAGATACACACACATGCCATGTTTAGCAAATCATGTTTATTATAAACAGAAATTTTTAAACAAAATAAATATCTATCAACCAGGGAATGATTTAGTGTATCTTACAATAGAATATCATGGCCATGCACAGTGGCTTATGCCTGTAATCCCAGCACTTTGGGAGACCAAGGCAGGTGGATACTTGAGGCCAGGAGTTCGAGACCAGCCTGGCCAACATGGTGAAACCCCATCTCTACTAAAAATACAAAAACTAGCTGGGCATGTTGGCGCATACTTGTAATCCCAACTACTTGGGAGGCTGAAGCAGGAGAATCGCTTGAACCAGGGAAGCGGAGGTTGCAGTGAGCCAAGATGGTACCACTGCACTCCAGCCTGGGCGACAGAGTGAGACTCTGTCTCGAAAAGAAAAATAATATATATATATGTAATATATCATGTGACATTGGATATTATATTTATAAAGAGTTCATGATAATGCAAAAGCACTTATATTTTTTAAATATATAAAGTTAAATATATATAATTTACATAGGCATATTACATATGTATATGTAAAAACTAAGTAAAAGAAAATAAATAAGAAAAAGAAAATCTATACCAAGTTCTTAAAAATATCTACGAGTAGTAGGACTAAGGGTAATTTTTTTCTTCTTATACTTTCCTGTATTTTCTAAATGTTAAATCATGAATATAGATTATTTTTATAATTGAATTTTTCCCCCAATTTTCTTCACTAGGCTTGGTAGATTTTCTACTCCATGAAGCTACAGCACTTAAATATTCAGCTTGCCATATATAGTCTTGCCCAATAGCTCATTTTTATCATATCATGCCCTTCTCAAACCTCCTGTAGTTCCCCATTGCCTAAGATACCAAGTTCAAATGCCATGTGGGCATGACTTTCAAAAACTCAATAAGCTGTCCGCAACTTAGCCTCATTTCTCACTCCTCTCCTAAATGGCACCTGCATGCTCATTTCTGACCATTTTCATTCCTAGTTTTGAACCTTGATCCAGGCTGTCTCCCCACCCGAATGGCCCTTCGCCATCACCTCTGCCTCTCCAAGAGCTCTCTCTCCTTACGAGACTCAGACCAACCCCACTCCTTTGGGAAGCTTCCCATGATTACTCTGGCGTCCTCTCATCTCACCCTTCTCTAACTCAGTCTCTACCACTTAAGAGCTCACTTTAACCTTTGCCTTACACTGCCCTCTGTAGCTAATTGGAACAGTATTTTTCAGGTGGATTGTGTATTGGCAGGAAGAGACACTACACATGAGCACCTACTAACATTTTCCATCTACTTGCTAAAATAAATCAGAAACATAAGGCAGAGAAAAGTGGCCTTTGCAGGGCAAAAACCAAGGCAGCACCTTTCAAATGTTCCCCAAGTCTCCTAGTAGGGAACCAGTAGCTGCCCATGACTTCCTTCACCACAGGTATGGTCTCCCCTATCTCCAAGGTTCAGTGTTGGCTGTGCAGTGGTCCTCCCTTACCTGCAACGAATATATTCCAAGACCCCCGGTGGATGTCTAAAACTGTGGATAGTACCAAATCCTATATTTTACTGTGTTTTTTTCTACACATACATACCTATGATAAAGCTGAATTTATAAATTCGACATAGTAAGAGATTAACAATAGCTACTAATAAACTACAACAATCATGACAATATGATGTAAAACAGTTGTGTGAATGTGGTAACTCTCTCAAAATATCTTGTTATACTGTACTCTCTATTTTCAGCCTGTGGTTGACCACTGGTAATTGAAACTGCAGCTAAGCAGAGACTACAGTAGTAGAGTCCTTTTGTACCCAAGCCCACCTTACCATTCAGGAAGGATTTACCCAATAGTCTGTGTATTTAATAATCCCCTGTGAGGGGATATTTCTAGATGTTAGACTCTCCTGGTTCTTGAAACAATTGCAGCCTCAATGAAGCTACATCTTCCCCTAGGAGGGAGAAAAGTAGAGTCTGTGCCCAGGAGTTTCTGAGGAGTGTAGCTCTTTTAAGCATCCCAGGTAGCCATGGCCCCTCCCTTGGTTATCCACCATTTACAACCATAGGGCTTCACCCTCAGCAAGATTGTAAGGGTAAGGGAATGGGAACCAATGCTTTTTGATCACTTGCCATAACCATCAGGATCACCATCATAATATCATATTAAGCACCACCAGTTTTGAGCTGCTCATGTGGGCCAAGAATGCGACACGAATTATCCAATCCATGTGACAATGCTGTGAGGTGAGTATATCATCTCCACTTTTTCAGACAGAGACACAGAGTCTCAAGGTCAGTATCTCGCTCAAGGTTGCATACCTTCAAAGTAACAGGGCCAGATGTAGAGCCTCTGCCTGCAAAGCACCACCCCATGGGCCTTTCTGTAAATCCTTCACAGTGACCGTCTCAGTCAAGAACTCTGTCCTGACATCTAACCTAATTCCTGCATGTTGCAGCTTCACACTCTTTCTTCCTGTTCTCTTCTTGGAGGAACTGGTCCCCAGGCTTGGAAGCAATAGTTCTTTTGCCAGAATTGTTAAAACACTCTTTGGCCATCTTTCAGGATGAATCATTCTAGATCTTCCTAGGCCTCATATTTTGAGCGATTAATTGTTTCCATTCTCCTCTCCTGAACACTCTTCTCATTCTCTGCAGCCCTCTGACATGCACTCTCCATTTTGAAAGGTCCTTAAGAATTTCCAGAGTTGTTTTGGGCTTTTTATTTTTTTTCCAAGGGACTTGGGAGAGGCATGATGGTCAGGGATAGGAAACCTTTCCATCTATCCAAATAAAATGGCTTGTTTCTGAGGGAAGAGAGATTAGAGGAAAGCTCAGAGGGCTGGGGCCAGGAAAATAACTTTGAAACTTAAAATAGATGAATTCAAATAAAGATGAATCAGAAACACAGGATTAAATTTTTCTGAGGCCTCCAATTTAGCAGGAAATGTGCTGGATAAAATAGATTTGGATTTGATTTATCAAATGCAAAATATTTTTTTCTTTTTAAAAAAGTGGGTAAGATTCTGAGTATACTCCAAGCCCTCTCACTATCAAAATCAAGCACCACCAGGCAGCCATTGCCCATGAGTCAGAGTCAGGTTAAAGCCGGATGCCTGGCTGAGTCCCTCCAGAGCTAGCATTTTCCAGTGGATTGCCATGTTAATCGGCATAAGAAACAGTAGGGGTGTAGAAGCAAGAATTCCAGGCTGAAAATCAAGAGACCTGGTTCTAGCCCCAGTTCAACCAGATGACCTTGGCAAGTCCTGGGCCCTGGACCTTCCTGACCCTCCATTTCCCCGAGTTTAAACCTGAGGGCTTGAGCCTACATGATCTCAGTGGTCCCTTTCTAGGTCTTATATTTTATAGTTCTCCAGTGAATATCAGCAGTTTCCAAAATGGCTTCCACCAAGCACTGATCCTGCAAGATGCTCAGTGGAAAAGCAGTTCAGTGGTCCCATTTGTTGGTAAAGACTGCATATGTGAGCTTCCCCTTGAGATTTAAAAAGCTTAATTTAATTCAACCAATGAGTTCCCAAATCTTATACCGTACACTCTTTTTTTAAATGTACTATTACCCTGTGAAATGTATTTCGGGAAACAGTGACAGTAAAAGTCCATCCTTCCTTCCTTCTCACCTCTGGGGTTTTGTCATCAATGGTGTCTCTTCTCCCCACTCACATCAGAACTTGGAGAGCTCCATTTGACACGGGAAACCCTGAGGACTCTGCCCTTAATTAAAGGAGCATAAAGCAGCAAGTTAGACAGTGGGCAGGCAGAGGCAGACGTGGGCTATCTGTGTTTGCAAACAGAACCAGGGCTAAGATGGCAGAATGATGAACTCACTGTGTATTGATGTTTTGCCCTTCATGCTATGGAGAGGCTGCAGGTGCATCCCTCTCCCTGAACATCACCGTAGAGGTCCTTGCAGCATGCTCCCTTTCCTCAGGGGCTCAGGTGTTTCTGGACAAATCGAAAGAGCAGCAAGACCATCAGAAGAGCAACTCCCCACTGGGCTGCTGTTTTGGAAAAACCTAACCTCACTGAGGGGCTGCCTTAGTCTTCTCAGGCTGCCACGATAAAATACCACAGACTAGGTGCCTTAAACAACAGAAATTCATTTTCTCACTTCTGGAGGCTAGAAGTTCAAGATCAACGTGCCACCGGGGCTTGTTTCTGGTAAGGCCTCTCTTCCTGGCTTGTAGAGAGCCTTCTTCTCACTGTGTCCTCACATGAACTTTCCTCTGTGCATGGGTGAGAGAGACCTTTGGTACTTTTCCTATTCTACAAAGACACTGATCCTATTAGATTAGGGTCTCACCATAACCTCATTTACCCTTAATGATCTCCTTAAATGCCCTATCTTCAAATACAGTCACCTTGGGGGATTAGGGCTTCAATGTAGGAATGTGGAGGAGACAAAATTCAGTCCATAAAACAGGGAGATTCCTCTGGATTGCTACAGAGAGGGAAGGAGAGATGTGAGTTTGGGAGTTTAAGAAGCAGAAAGAGTCAGAGGAAGAAGCAAAAGAAATGTCTTCAAGGGCTAAGTGGATGAATGACTGTAGTCTGTGGGTATATCCTGCTCCTTGCAGAGCCCTAGGAAGTGCTAGGACATCAAAGGGGAGGTTGTGGCACATCTGGAGAGGCTGTGCCCTGACACCATGCATGACTCCATGGGCCAGCTTGGCACAGAAGGCACAAAGCCACCTGCAACGAGGTCACATAGATTTGGGCAAGGAATGACTTGTGTGGACACAAAGTCCAGGCTGCCCACCAAGTGCACAAGACCTCAGGACATTTTCCCATGCTATGGAATAAGAAAGAGCCCAGGAATGACAGAAATTTATTTTCCCACCATCCATAACGATGAAATCTTGCAGCAGATTAAGTTTGTTTTAGAGAAATAAAATAAACATGGCCCACACTTTGCATTTTGGAGGAAATTTTACAGCTGACATTCTGATGTCACTAGTTGTAAGCAGGATGGGTGGGAGGCCAGGCCTCTAAGATCCAGTCCAGATATTGGTAAAAAAGATTTGGCAGATTCCAAGCAAGGGAGGGCCAGCTAAAAGTTATTAGACAGGATTTGTATTGATAAGCAATGCAGTCCAACCTGACCCCTTCAGGACATCTAGGCCCCAATAATTCACCCTGTTTTGCCCCTCTTGTTGACTTGATGAGAGGTATATTAGTTTCTTGTGGTGGCTATAACAAAATATCACAAAGTTGATGGCTGAAAACAACAGAAATTTATTTTCTCACAGTTTTGGAGGCCAGAAGTCCAAGATCAAGGTATTAGCAGGCGTGCACTCCCGCCAGAGACTCTTGTAGGGGGCTCTGTTCTTTGCCTCTTCCAGATTCTGGTGGCTGCCAGCATTCCTTGGCTTAGGGCTGCATCCCTGTCTCTGTTTTCACAACACCTTCTCCTCTTCTGTGTGTCTGTCTCAAAATTTCCTCTGCCTCTCTTATAAGGACACTGTGATTGTATTTAGAGTCCATTCAGACAATCCAAGATAAGCTGCTTCTCTTGGGATCCTTAACTTAATCACAACTTTTGCAAAATAAGGTAACATTCACAGGTTCCAGTGAGTTGGCATGGATATCTTGGTGAGGGGCTGGTATTTTCAGTAGACCACAGGAGGGTCAAGGCCATGGGTAGCTTAGCCAGGTAGGGCTCATTCCACCACCAGACAAACCCACCACCACAGCCCCTAGTATGAGGCCTGCCACACAGTGGGCTCTTAATGTTTGTGAAATGAAGACTTTGTTGGATAAGGGCCAATATGATGAGAACTAGAGCTATCAGCTGGGCTTACCCTTGAGAGGACTTCACCCAGTAGAACCCAAATTTTTAGATTCTCTTTGACTAGATGAACTTACACACAAACACAAAGCAGAGAGTGGGGGTGGGATATGCATATTCAGGTATCCACATAAAACTTCCAGCTTTTTCAATTGCCAAGTGAGGAGAGTAAAAGAAAATGTCATTTATTTTAATAGTCATTTCATAAAAGAAAGAGCATTTTAGCACCAAAAGGAAGATCATTCCTTTAGAATAAAGGACAGTGTTTAAAATTAAATAAATCCAGCCTCATTAAAAATTCACTTTGCAGTTCTTTTTTTTTCTCAGCTTGCCACAAATGAAATTCCATCACAGACCTACACCAGTTTGCAAATGGGCATTTGAAAGCAGCTGCAGGGAAAAAATTTTGGAAGGGAAAAAGCCACTTCATTCTAGGAATAAGGAAGAGAGTATCTGTCGTTGGGAGAGTCTCCCCCTCCCCTAAATGCCCCAAAGGCCATCAGAACTCCAAGGCTTTATCCTATGACCCTTTCTCTGCCCATAACACAGCCACTGCAGCCTTCTGCCAGGACCCACTGAGAGTGAACACAAGGGAGCCTCTTGAGAGATGCCCGCTGTGGCATGAGACTTGCTGATAATAAACAACATGAACCCCTCCCTCTTGTCTCTGCCTTCCCGACTTCTCTCCCTCTGACCAACTCAATCTCTGCCCACTTCTGCCTCTTGCAAGACCTTTCCTCCTTTGGCACTGATACAAAGTCCGAGAGGCCTTTGCCACTTCAGTGCCTGTCACTCCCCATCCGCCAGCTTCACCAGATGGCCTGTGGTGTGTGTGGTCCTGTGCATATGCCCACATTCTTCAAGACCCTCTCGCCCAACCAGAAAGCTACCCCAGGGCTGTGCAAGCAGCATCACTTCCTAAGACCTAAAGTGTCTCTGTGCCTCATCTGTAGGGCCAGGTAAGGTGATCTCCACGTTTACTCCCCTATTGCTGGGGAAGCCAGCCAAGGAAGGATGCATGTTCTGCCTGGTGCAAAGTAACCATGGGAGCTTCCCCGCTGGATTCCACAAAGTTATCAGGACATGTTGCAAATAGAAGGCCACTCGTGCCCCAAAGCCAAGTCTGACAAAGTCCCTCATGCCTGATAAGAAGTTCTCTCCTATTCGTGAGAAGAACTTAGGACCTTGTAGATTGCTGATTGACTTGGTGTTTGCACAGCAGTCTGGAGGACAAAAAAGACCAAATGCCTTAAACACAAGCCAGAGCCTTTGACTCAGTGAGGTCAATTCTAAAAATTCTAAGAAAACATCAGAGATCCATCCACAATTTAGGTATCAGGATGTTCATTACAGTTATATATGTAGTTTTGGGAAAATGGGAAATAATTGACACATTGGAATCTCTTGCAGCTAATAAAGGTTGCCCAGTAAAAGATTTCTTAATGACATTTAAATATAGTCACTGTGTAATGTCACTATATAATAATAAGTTGAGATATTAGTTGGTGTTTATTTTTACTATGTAGAAGAATCAGGAAAAATGGGAGCTGTTGTATTTTGTTCTCTCTGAGTTTTCTTCTCTCCTATATGTGACTGTGCTCACTGGTCTCAGGGGAGATACGTATTGCAGGGAAACCTGCTCTCTGGGTTTTTGTTCCAAATTCTAAATTCACTGGGGCAATTTGCAGAGGATAGGGAGAAACTATTGATGGGGAGAGACTGAGGTGAGAGAAGAGAGGGCAGGAGAAAGATTTGCGGGACTATCCCCTTGCCTCTCTTACCACCCAATCCCCTCTGCGCCACAGCCTGATGACGGTCCTCAGGGGAATGGTGGCAGTGTGTCCCAGGGCATTCCACCCTAAGTCCCAGCCCCCTCTCCCCATCTTGGCAAAGATTCTCTTGGCAAGCCTGGCACAGAAACTGCAGCATGCCCAACTTCAAGGGACTTTGCACATATGGCAATGACTCCACATCATGACACACACCAAGGGGCCAAGACAAGACTTGCACTATTTCCAAGCCAGTTCTAGGGAAACTCAAAGGGTGAACATGGAGAGCCCACCAATGAGACAGAGTAGGTGCATACAATCAGAAAATATTTGGTATAA